>NT_187670.1:0-184516 GCF_000001405.40 Homo sapiens
CACGAGGTCAGGAGATCGAGACCATCCTGGCTAACACAGTGAAACCCCGTCTCTACTAAAAATACAAAAAATTAGCAGGGCGTGGTGGCGGGCGCCTGTAGTCCCAGCTACTCGGGAGGCTGAGGCAGGAGAATGGCGTGAACCCAGGAGGCGGAGCTTGCGGTGAGCCGAGATCGCGCCACTGCACTCCAGCCTGGGTGACAGAGCAAGACTCCAGCTCAAAAAAAAAAAAAAAAAAAAAATCTACTCTCCCATGCTTGCCTCGGCAGCACATATACTAAAATTGGAACGATACAGAGAAAACTAGCATGGCCCCTGCGCAAGAATGACACGCAAATTCGTGAAGTGTTCCATATTTAAAAAAAAAAATCTACTTTCCTGGTAAATTTCAAGTATAGAGTACAGTATTGTCAACCATAGTGGCAAAGCTGTACAAGAGATCTTCAGACCCATTCCTCCTGAATACCTGATAGTTTGTATCCTTTGATCAACATCTCCCAATTCCCTCCCCCACACTGTCCCTGTAGTTCTAGTGAGTTCCCCAGACTCTGATGTCTCAATTTCATTCAGTCACTTTCCTCCAGATACATCTACCCATTCCTACTGCATCTTAGTATCCTGAGCCTTGGGGGCAGTTTCTGTGCCAAGTGGAAATGTGGAAATGAGATATTACGAAGAAAAATCTTTGCCCACCTAGACAGGGATCTGATGTTTTCCAAGATGACACATGATTACATGTTGAAATGATAATATTTTGAGTCTACTTGTATAATAAAATAATATTTTGGATCTATTAGGTTAATATTTTGGGTCTGTTGGGTTAATAATATTTTGGGTCCATTGGGTTAACTTAAATTAATTTTATCTGTTTCTTGTTAGCTTTTTAATTTGGATACTAGCAAGTTTGAAAGAATGCATGTGGTTTGCATTATGTTTCTATAGGACAGAACTTACCTGTAGATGTAAGGGAGTCACAACAAAATTACAAGCATTGTTTTTGGTGGAAATGAGAAAAATGATTACAAATTTACATGGAAAAGCAAATAGCCAATAATAATAATAATGGCAATCTTAAAGAGGAAGGAGAAATTAGAGGATTCAGGCTGCCAAATTTTAAGGGGTTCTATAAGGCCACATAAAGTGCAGCATCCTCATGAGAGTGGACACAGAGAGCCACTGAGCAGAAAAGAGTGTGTAAAATACATCTGTGTACACACAGTCCTTTTATAGTTGACAGAGGCTGCCATGCGGATTAAGGTGGAATAGAATGTCTTCTCAGTAAATAACATTGGACCAGAGGGTTACAAGCAGGAAAAAATAAATCTAAGCTTATTTTCACACCATAAAAACACTGCTAATTTTTTATCTTATTATCATACATTTTGATGATTTATTTATAAAATTGATGAATGAAAATTATATACAGTAGTCCTTCACTATTCATGGGTGATTGGTTCCAGGAAACCCCCCTCCCTACCAGACACCAAAATCTGCAGATGCTCAAGCCTGTTGCATGAAATGGCACAGCGTTTGCATATAACCCATGCACATCCTCCTGTATACATGAAATCATCTCTAGATTACTTATAATTCCTGATACAGCCTACACACCACCTCACTTGTGTCCACACAATATAGTATTTTTGCTTTTTGGAACTTTGTGGATTTTTTCTCTGAATATTTTTGATTTATATTTGGTTCAATAAACACCTGTAAACCCCACAGATATGGAGGAGCGACTGTATATTTATAGTATGAAAGATGATGTGTTGACATGTGTCCCTGTGGAGATGAGACTAACAAGGCCTATGACTCTACAAATGTTTCATCTTGGAATGACTCTGCCAGCTTTCCAGGTCTGCAGAGAGTAAGAATATCACTTGTTCATGTGATTCACGATCCTTGGAACCTCCTATGTGCTGCATCTTTGGATGGAAATTGGAGTCCCAGAGACAAATGAGGCTCCACCCTGCTTCCAGAAGCTCAGAGTCCAGGGCTGAGAACCCAGTAGAGAACATATCAGGTTATATGGACATAGTAATGATAACACTGGAAACTTTTGGCGAATAAAGAGTCACATTATCGAAACCATGAGGGCAGACATGTTTATTTGAAGAGGAGAGAGCTACACTGAAGTTATAAAAAAAATTTATAAATTTTACTGATGACAGAAGGCTGAAAGATAGTCTGAGGGGAGGTGGAACAGCATGAGGGAAGGTGGAACAGCAAGTGTGTAAGTGCCGTGTTAAGAGGGAGCCTCTTGCATGTTTGGAATTGTGAGTTCCTCAGTGTGATTGCAGCCTCAAGTAGGACTAGGAAGTAAGCCAGTTAGGTTGGAGAGGTGGGCAGGGGTCAAGTGAAATAGATACTTGTGGGCTAAGCAAAGGAGTGTGTTTTCTCTGCAGCAGGCAGTGGCGACCTTAGGCATTTGTAAGCAAGAGAGAGGCATGTTCAGATTCGTGGTGTGAGGAAGAGCGATCCCCTAAGATGCAGACTGATGCCTTCAGATTCCAGCTGCTGGTTCATTGGATCTGGCAACCTGGTTTTGAGACAGGGCTGTTGTCTCCCTAGAAAACCCCCTCAAGACCTGACTGTGGTGCTCGTGGGCAGGAGACAACTTTGGATCTGGGCTCAGCATTTGGAAGTTCCGTGTACACGCTGGTATCTGTTAGGGGTGTCTTGGGCCTCTGAGAAGGGCGACTGATTTTTCTCTGTATGAAAACGCAGTGATCCAACTGTGCGTACATCACCTCCTGAGGGTCTTGTTCATCAGAGTCCTGGAGAGAGGGAAATGCTGAGTGAGGGAGGGTGCTCACATTTTTCAGGACTATTAGGGATAAGACTGTATCCGTGAGGCTGGGCCGAGGAGGACCTACCTGCCTATTCACTGTTCTGTCCCCCGCAGGCTCTTGGTCCATTACAGCAGCATCTGTAGGAGACGGAAGTCATCAAAACCGCTTGGAGGGCCCTTCTGGGTCCTCATTTCATGGGCAGACACCAACCCACAGGGGGAGGCTGTAGGTGCCTGAGGCTCTTCAGCTGCCAACATCCAGACTCAGACATTCTATCTCTCTGAGTTCAAGACCCCATCCCATGAAGTGCTCTCAATTGGCATCCCATTGATTCTGTCTCCCACTTTCTGCCTGTCATGGAAGCTTCTGGATGTCAGTGGCTGCAGGGGATGTGAGGATACAGTTCAGAACCAGGCAATGGTCTGTGAGCTGAAGGCAGGGGCAGGTTGTCTGGTGCTCTCTCTAGAAAGCCCTGCCTCTGTGGCTCCTCCCTTGGGCCAGGGACCATCCTGCCAGTGAGGAACACACACCCGCGTGCTCCCATCCTGCTTCCCCACATGGCCCTGAGCTCTCTGGCCTCTGCTTCGTGAGACTTACTCTTTTTGTTGGAGCACCAGCGATAAAGGAGAAAGAAGAGGAGGAGGATGAAGAGGAAGATGACCACTGAGGTCCCAATCAGAACATGCAGGTGTCTGCAGATACCTGGAGGAAGATGGGAATCCAATAAGAAGCTAATCATAGCAGTTCCTCTTTATGGATTGTCTCATTTCTTGATTGACAGGTAACCACATGGAACATCTCCTTAGGACAAGCAGCCTGATGGCGGGAGACCCAGCTTTCTCCTGCTTTCTCAGTTACAGCTCTCATAGAAACCATAGAACATGCTGAGGATACAGCTGCTTTAGTTTAGATGTTTGACCCTTTGAAACCTCACACTGAAATATTGAAATTTAACCCCCAGTGTGGAAGTTTGGGCCTATGGGAAGGTGTTTGAGTCATGGAGGTGGATCCATCATGAATAGATTAATGCTGCCCCACATGATGGGGTTAGCAAGTTCCCCCTCTATTAGTTCCCGGAGGGCTGGTTGTTAAAAAGAGCTTGGAAGCTCCATCGCTCGCCCTCCCCCTTGCTCCCTCTCTTGCCATGTGATCTCTGTGGTCTCTGCACAGACAGACCCTCCTTCCCTTCTGCCAGAGTGGGAGCAGCCTGAGGCCGTCACAGGAAACAGATGCTGGTGCCATGCTTCCAGTACAGCCTGCAGAACTGTGAGGCAAACAAATCTGTTTTCTCTAGAAGTTGCCCAGGCTCTGGGATGCAAGGCTGGTTCAATATATGCAAATCAATAAATGTAATCCATCATATAAACAGAACCAAAGACAAAAACCGGACGATTATCTCAATAGATGCAGAAAAGGCCTTTGACAAAATTCAACAACACTTCATGCTAAAAACTCTCAATAAATTAGGCATTGATGGGACGTATCTCAAAATAATAAGAGCCATCTATAACAAACCCACAGCCAGTATCATACTGAATGGGCAAAAACTGGAAGCATTCCCTTTGAAAACTGGCACAAGACAGGGATGCCCTCTTTCACCACTCCTATTCAACATAGTGTTGGAAGTTCTGGCCAGGGCAATTAGGCAGGAGAAGGAAATAAAGGGTATTGAATTAGGAAAAGAGGAAGTCAAATTGTCCCTGTTTGCAGATGACATGATTGTATATCTAGAAAACCCCATTGTCTCAGCCCAAAATCTCCTTAAGCTGATAAGCAGCTTCTACAAAGTCTCAGGATACAGAATCAATGTACAAAAATCACAAGCATTCTTATACACCAATAACAGACAAACAGAGAGCCAAATCATGAGTGAACTCCCATTCACAATTGCTTCAAAGAGAATAAAATACCTAGGAATCCAACTTACAAGGGATATGAAGGACCTCTTCAAGGAGAACTACAAACCACTGCTCAATGAAATAAAAGAGGATACAAACAAATGGAAGAACATTCCATGCTCATGGGTAGGAAGAATCAAGATCGTGAAAATGGCCATACTGCCCAAGGTAATTTATAGATTCAATGCCATCCCCATCAAGCTACCAATGACTTTCTTCACAGAATTGGAAAAAACTACCTTAAAGTTCATATGGAATCAAAAAAGAGCCTGCATTGCCAAGTCAATCCTAAGCCAAAAGAACAAAGCTGGAGGCATCATGCTGCCTGACTTCAAACTATACTACAAGGCTACAGTAACCAAAACAGCATGGTACTGGTACCAAAACAGAGATATAGATCAATGGAACAGAATAGAGCCCTCAGAAATAATGCCACATATCTACAACTATGTGATCTTTGACACACCTGAGAAAAACAAGCAATGGGGAAAGGATTCCCTATTTAATAAATGGTGCTGGGAAAACTGGCTAGCCATAGGTAGAAAGCTGAAACTGGATCCCTTCCTTACACCTTATACAAAAATTAATTTGAGATGGATTAAAGACTTAAACGTTAGACCTAAAACCATAAAAACCCTAGAAGAAAACCTAGGCATTACCATTCAGGACATAGGCATGGACAAGGACTTCATGTCTAAAACACCAAAAGCAACGGCAACAAAAGCCAAAATTGACAAACGGGATCTAATTAAACTAAAGAGCTTCTGCACAGCAAAAGAAACTACCATCAGAGTGAACAGACAACCTACAAAATGGGAGAAAATTTTCGCAACCTACTCATCTGACAAAGGGCTAATATCCAGAATCTACAATGAACTCAAACAAATTTACAAGAAAAAAACAAACAATCCTATCAAAAAGTGGGCAAAGGACATGAACAGACACTTCTCAAAAGAAGACATTTATGCAGCCAAAAAACACATGAAAAAATGCTCACCATGACTGGCCATCAGAGAAATGCAAATCAAAACCACAATGAGATACCATCTCACACCAGTTAGAATGGCGATCATTAAAAAGTCGGGAAACAACAGGTGCTGGAGAGGATGTGGAGAAATAGGAACACTTTTACACTGTTGGTGGGACTGTAAACTAGTTCAACCATTGTGGAAGTCAGTGTGGCGATTCCTCAGGGATCTAGAGCTTGAAATACCATTTGACCCAGCCATCCCATTACTGGGTATAAACCCAAAGGACTATAAATCATGCTGCTATAAAGACACATGGACACGTATGTTTATTGTGGCACTATTCACAATAGCAAAGACTTGGAACCAACCCAAATGTCCAACAATGATAGACTGGATGAAGAAAATGTGGCACATATACACCATGGAATACTATGCAGCCATAAAAAATGATGAGTTCATGTCCTTTGCAGGGACATGGATGAAATTGGAAATCATCATTCTCAGTAGACTATCACAAGGACAAAAATCCAAACACTGCATGTTCTCACTTATAGGTGGGAATTGAACAATGAGAACACATGGACACAGGAAGGGGAACATCACACTCTGGGGACTGTTGTTGGGTGGGGGGAGGGGGGAGGGATAGCATTAGGAGATATACCTAATGCTAAATGACGAGTTGATGGGTGCAGCACACCAGCATGGCACATGTATACATATGTAACTAACCTGCACATTGTGCACATGTACCCTAAAACTTAAAGTATAATAATAATAAAAATTTAAAAAAAAAGCTCATCAGAAGCACTATACAAAAAAAAAAAAAAAAAAAGAAGTAACCCAGGCTCAAGTGTTCTTTTATAGCAACAAAAATGGACTAAGACAGCAACGTCCTGAGATCAGGAGGAACGTCTCAGAACAGCCTGTGCTGTCTTCCTGTTCTTCCTGGAGGAGGACGTCATGCAGTGCTTTAGCTGAGTGCTTCCTGTGGCTTCAGGGTACGAAACCCAGGCTGGGCTATTTTCTGGCTTCCCCCAGATACACTGCAAATGAGGTGACTCCATATGTCCCGAGAAGCTTTTCTGAGCCTTGAGGGACTGGCTCACATTGAAATGTAGGCTTCTGTTGTCACTCGCTGCTTATCTGTTAGTAATGAACCTGCCTATGTAACGTATTCTCTGTGTGTTCTGTCTCCCTGGAGTGACGGTGAGTGATAGAAATTTGCATAGGCCCAGGTGCAGTACAGCAGGTGTTTAGAGTCTTCTCTGGAAAGACTGAACTGGGATTGATACACAGTGAATGTGCTTTACAGTTTCTACATCCACAACCCTCTTGACTCAAATTACATTCTCCAAGAAAAGGACACAAAAGTGAAATCAAGATCAAAAAAGCAAAGTAGAATTCTCTTATGTCAAACAGCCAGGAAATAATGATGAAGCCCATGTGAAACGTGCTACTCTTTGTGATCTCGCGAGACACATGTTAGGCTGCTGTTCCACCTGAGAGGCTGGGGGAAAGACCACCCCCTCCACCATCTATTGCTTCAAAACCACCTGTCCTCCTGTGAATTAGTAGGAAAGGGGAGCAGGAGCTAGTGCTGGTGCTGATCTCTGATTCCAAGATCTGAACTCACTCCAAGGAGTATTAGCGTTTACCTCCCCATGATCTATCTGTATCTCCACAGGTGATTGGAAGTAGGGGTGAGGTGGGGGATTTGGGTGAGGGGGCAAGTTTCTTGTGATGAACAGAGCACTTTCCCTATTTCAGGGCCTGTGCTGGTGGGTTCAGGGGGCTTTCATATTTTCCATATGATCTCATGTTCACAGAAAGCCAAATATGGAAGAGGTTTTAGGCTGATTTTCTAATGGATAAGATAAAGGATCAAAGAAGTAATTATAGAGAAATAGAAAAATGATGATTGGAATTCAGGTGCCTGCATCATTTGTGTATATTATTATATTTATGTATTTTTTATTTTTATTTTTTGAGCCAGAGTATCCCTGTGTAGCCCAGGCTGGTGTGCAGTGACGCGATCTCCACTCACTGCAACCTCTGCCTCCAGGGCTGAAGTCATTCTCCTGCTTCCTCCTCCAGAGTAGCTGGGATTACAGTCATGCACCACCATCATGCCTGTTTAATTTTTGTATTTTTAGTAGAGATAGGGTTTCTCCATGTTGGCCAGGCTGGTCTCGAACTCCTGACTTCATGTGATCCACCCGCGTTGGCCTCCTGAAGTGCTGGGTTACAGGCGTGAGCCACCGTTCACAGCCTTGTATATTATGCTATACTAGGTCCCTTCATTTGCACCACCCCTCATCTAGCTCTCCCTCCTCTGCCAGGTATTGATTTAGATGCAGGAGAAATAAATCTCAGAAATAAGTTAGTGAAGCGAGGATTAAACTACCAGGAAAAAATCAAACCCAGCAAGCCTTTCCAGCCAATGATTCTACCTCACAAACATATCTTATATCCATCTACTTCATTCATTTAGTGTCTAAATCAGCACCACATTTCACCAGTGGGGCGGGAATTGCCTTTTCCACGGTCTCCTAGATTCCAGTTACGCACCTGGGCCTCCCTTATTTTCATGTCAGTCATATTAATCATGTAGGGATTCCTGGTTACCCCGAGGTGAGTCCAATGGCTGTGAGTGTCAAACACACACTCCTTGTTGCTCCTTAGTTTCCTGTGTACCCAGTGTGCTCTCCGTCTCTCTACAGTCGTCTTGTCATTCTCCCCACGTCATTCCCAGCATTTGAGGCAGAGCCTCTTCCTTCAACATCAGATTATTTTCACCTTTGTGCCTTCACGGCTGACAGCTGTGTGTGCAAAATCCTTCCGCCCATCTTTCAGGGGTTCAATCCGTGTTTTTCATTAATGTCACAAATATCTGATTAGTGAGAACTTCTCTGTCACCTGAAATCATACACTCAGCATTATCTATTATTGATTTGAAAATTTGGCTTGGCCCCGTGGCTCATGCCTCTTATCCCAGCGTGTTGGGAGGCAGAGGCTATTGGATCACCTGAGGTTGGGAATTTGAGACCAGCCTGGCCAACATGGTGAAACATCCTCTCTACAGAAAATATGCAAAAAGAGTTAGCCGGGCGTGGTGGTTGTGGTCTGTAATCCCAGCTACTGGAGAGGCTGAGGGAGGAGATCCGTTCAGCCCAGGAGGTGGAGGTTGCAGTGAGCCGAGATCATGCCACCGCACTCTAGCCTGGACGACAGAGCAAGGCTCCGTCTCAATAAACAAGTAGGTAAATACATAAATAAATAGATTTCATGCACAGATGCTTCTCAATAGATCATTCATTTATTGGTCCCCTTGTGCCTACATTTTCTGCCCTCCCATTTAACCATCTGCAAGATCAGTGTCCCAAGAACAGAGGCCAAATGCATCTTGTTCACTGTTTGTGGAAGGCAGGAGAATGTTGTCCCACCCCAAAAATGTCCATGTCCTAGCCTCCATAGCTTGTGAATATGTTATTTTACATGAAAGGAGGAATGAAGATTGCAGATGGAATTATGGTTGCTAGTCAGCTGAACTTAAAAGGAGGGTATCCTGGATGATTTCCGGGAGATTATGATGGATTTTCATCTTGGTGAACCCAATAGAATCCCCAAGTTTTCAAAAGAAGGGGAAGAAGGGAGAGCAGCATTCAGAGAAAGAGGTGTGGTAAGGAAGAAGGGTCTGAGTGATGCCATGTGAGATGTGACCAGTCTTTGTGGGCTTTGAGGAAGGAGGAAGGGTACCAGGAGCCAAGGAACATGGGAGCCTCTAGAAGCTGAGAAAAGTGAGAAGCAGATTCTTGCCTGGAACCCTCAGAGGGAAGGCAGCCTTGCTGTCACCTTGATTTTAGCCCAGTGACATGCACGTCATGCTTTGAGCTACAGCACTGTAAGATAATTAAATAACCGTTTTGTTTTCACCCACGAATCTTGTGGAAATTTGTTATGGCAACAATAGGAAAAGCTTCCACACTGCACAGCCTGAGCATGGGGCTGTGGCTGAATGAGTCAGTGAGTCGAAGTGTGCGTGCATGAGCTCTGTTCTCTGTTACGGCAAGGCTCTTGCTCTGCTGAGTCAGCCAGGGTTGCCTGATGACCAACAGTAATTCATTCCTTGGCAAGTGGAACTTCTCTAAAACACCCACCCTCATCAGATGTTCCCTTCCCTTCCCTCTCTCAAGCCCCCGGGAATTTATCCTCCAGTTAGGAATGCAGGCAGAAAAAACACTGCATTTTTCCTGAGAAGGATGTCAGATTGGCAATTATTCTTCTAGCTTGTAGGAGGTCTCACCTGCAGGAAATTAAAGGTAAAGAGACTTCGCTGAGCCCTTTGGTGGCCCTAGATCCCTTTCACTGTTGGAGTGTCTGGAGTTCAGAGATGGTGGAAGACAGGCCCTCATTCACAGAGCTGGGAGGTTTGAGCCAACACTTGCATCCAAGGCTTCCACCTCCCCAGGTTTCCAAAAGCAGAGATAAGAGGGGTCCTTTACTCACCAGATTTGGAGCTTGGTTCTGTGGGTGAAGGCCAACTACTTGAAGGGTTTCCTAGAACACGGGACAGGAGAGATGTGAGGAAATGAGGGTGCTTGTCCTCTACTCAATGGAAATCTTTGAGGTTGGTTCATGGCCAACACTCTGTTATCTAATGTTGGACCCTGGGAGTCTTGGGATCCTTTTCTCCATAATTTTTGTGTGCGATGCCCACTGTCTTGAGACTTGAAGGTATAAAGAGAAAACAGGAGCATCACACTACCTGACTTAGAAATATGTTACAGAGCTGTAGTAAGCAAAACAGCATGACATTGGCATAAAGAAAGGCACATAAAAAATGGAACAGAATGGAGAACACAGATATAATCCATGCATTTACATCCAATGGCTTTCTTTTGTGTGTGTGTGATGGAATCTTGCTCTGTCATGCAGGCTGGAGTGTAGAGGTGCAATCTCAGCTCAATGCAACCTCCACTTCCTGGATTCAAGAAATTCTCTTGCTTCAAACTCCTGAGTAGTGGTATTACAGGCACTGATCACCATGCTCAGCTAATTTTTGTATTTTTAGTAGAGACGAGGTTTCACTCTGTTGGCCAGCCTGGTCTTGAACTCCTGGCTTTAGGTGATCCACCCGCCTCGGCCTCCCAAAGTGCTGGAATTGCAGGTGTGAGCCACCATGCCCAGCCCATTTAATGGACTTTGACAAAGGTGCCGAGAACTTACAATCAAGAAAGGACAGTCTTCAATAAATGGTGTGGGGAAAACTGGATATCTACATGCAGAGGAATAAAACTGCATCTATACCTGTCACCTTACACAAAAATCAAATGAAAATGGATTAAAAACATGAGTCTAAGGCCTGAACCTATGAAACATGTAGAAGAAAATAATGGGGAAGACATTTGTCTGACGAAAGACATTTTGTTTAAAACCTTCAAAACACAAGTAATCAAAGCAAAAAATAGACCATTAGGATTACATCAAACCAAGCAACTTCTGCACCACCAAAGATAAACCAACAAAGTGAAGAGACAACCCACAAAATAGGAGCAAATATTTGCAAACTATTCATCTGAGATGGGATTAATAACTGGAAATATAAGAAGCTCAAACAACTCAATAAAACAATTTAATTAAAAAACGAGCAAAAGACATGAGGAGACATTTCTCCACAAACAAAACATAGAAATGGCGATCACGTATATGAAAAAGTGCTCAGCATCACTCATCATCACAGAAATGTAAATTACAATCGCGATGAGTTTTCATCTCATCCCATTAAAATGCCTTTTAGGCCGGTGGCTCACGCCTGTAATTCCAGCACTTTGGGAGGCGGAGGTGGGCGGATCACCTGAGGTCGGGAGACCAGCCTGACCAACATGGAGAAACTCCCTCTCTACTAAACATACAAAAATTAGCTAGGCGTGGTGGCACATGCCTGTAATCCCAGCTACTTTGGAGGCTGAGGCAGGAGAATCAGTTGAACGCGGGAGGCAGAGGTTGCAGTGAGCCGAGATCACACCCTTGCACTCCAGCCTGGGCGACTATGAGTGAAACTCCATCTCAACATAAATAAATAAATAAATAAATAAAGTAAAATGGCTTTTATCTGCAAGACAGGCAAAACAAATGCTGGCAAGATGGTAGAGAAAGGAGAACCCTGGTACCCTGTTGGTAGGAATGTAAATTAGTACAACTATTATGGAGAAAAGTATGGAAAAACTTTAAAAAACTAAAAGGAGGCTGGGCATAGTGGCTTATGCCTGTAACTTCAGCACTTTGGGAAACCGAGGCAGGCACCTCACTTGAGGTCAGGAGTTTGAGAGCAGCCTGCCCAAAATTGGGATATCCCGTCTGTGCTAAAAAATACAAGAATTAGTCAGGCATGGTGGCGTGCACCTGTAATCACAGCTATTAGGGAGGCTGAGTCAGGAGAATCGTTTGAACCTAGGAAGCAGAGGTTGCAATGAGCCAAGATCGCACCACTTTGACTCCAGCTTGGACTAAGGAGGGAAACTCTTTCTCAAAAAAGAAAAAAAAAAAAGAGAACTTTCATAGTGTCCAGCAATTTCACTACTGGGTTTATATCCAAAGGAAAGGACATCAGTGTATCGAAGTGATATCTGCACTCATATGACTGTTCCAGCACTGTTCACAGTAGCCAAGATGTGGAGTCAACCTACCTGCCTATCAGTGGGTGAATGGATAGAGAACTGTAGTACACACACACGGTGGAGACTACTCATCCATAGAAACAATAACATCCTGTCATTTGCAGCCACATGGATGGAACTGGAGGTCATTACAAAGATTCCCATTTCTCACCACATGCAGGAGATAAAAGGTGGATCTCATGAAGGTAGAGAATAGAATGGTGGATACCAGAGGCCAGGAAGGGAAGGGTGGAGGGTAACAAAAAAAAGAATATAGATGTATTTATTTATTTAGAAACAGAGTCTCTCTCTGTCTCCCAGGCTGCAGTGCAGTGGCATGATCTCGGCTCAGTGCAACCTCTGCCTCCTGGCTTTAAGTGCTTCTCCTGCCTCAGCCTCCCAAGTAGCTAGGACTACAGGTGCATGCCGGCATGCTTGGCTAATTTTTCTTGTCTGTTTAGTAAAGATGAATTTCCCGCATGTTGGCCAGGCTGATCTCGAGTCCCTGATCTTAAATGATCCACCTTTCTTGGCCTCTCAAAGCGCCAAGATTACAACCGTGAACCACCACACCCAGCATATAAAGGTATTTATGACCACTAGATTTTACTTTTAAAAATGGTAAAGTTGGTAAATTATATAGTTACATTTAACCTCAATAAATATTTTTGAAAATGAAAAGAAAAGAGTGTAGGGGTTGCTGGTGATGACATCTCTCTGTGTGGGTGAGAGGCCAGGATGGGCTTCTGGGAAATGGGTAAGGTTGAGGGGCTGAGGGAACCTCTGATCTCCCCAAACTGAGCCCAGTCTCCCCTTCTCTGGGTCTGTCCTGACCGCTTTCTCCATCTGCCTGGGTGCCTGGAGCCCTGACCATGGGCCTCCATGCAGGCCATGCAAGAGGGTTTGGAGGTGCCCTGTCTGCCATCCTGCACCCTGACCCCCCCTTCACACCCAGTCTTCGTGTTCTCTCTGCATCTGTCCATGCTTCTCCCCATCATCGGCAGGAAGCTCCTCAGCTATGGCTCTAGGATCATAAGACATGGGACAGACACGGGTTTTCCTCACCTGTGACAGAAACAAGCAGTGGGTCACTTGAGTTTGACCACACGCAGGGCAGGGCACGGAAAGAGCCGAAGCATCTGTAGGTCCCTCCGTGGGTGGCAGGGCCCAGAGGAAAGTCTGCCTGGAATGTTCTGTTGACCTTGGGCACTGCACGGAGCCTACGTTCATGGGCCTCCCCTTCCCTGGACAGATGGTAGATGTCATAGGAGCTCCAGGAGCTACAGGACAAGGTCACGTTCTCTCCTGCCTGAACCGTGGGGCCCGGCTGGGCTGAGAGAGAAGGTTTCTCATATAGACCTGGAAGGAGAAGAGGCAGTTTCCTCAGGGAGGTTCTTCCTTGTCACAGCTCCCCTCATACCTGAGCTGAGAACTCACTCCCCTGCTCTATGACCTAATGCTCTCTCTCTCTCTCACCCTCCACCCCAACTCTCTTCATGTCTATTTCCTCCTTCCGCCTTCTCTGTCTCTCTAGGTCTCTGACCTCACTTCCCCACCCCTGGGTATGCTTTCCCTTTTTGGATTGTTTTATTCTCTCTGACTCTCCTTGGATTGGTTGACTTGATCTTCCTTTTTCTATAATTCTGAGTCTCTCACTTTCTGTCTTGTTCATAACTTTCTGCATATTTCTATCTATTATCTATCTATCTATTTTGTGTCTATCTACAAATTATCTGTCATCTATATCTATGTATCATTTATCTATCAATTGTCTATCTGTCTATCCATCAATCATCTATGTATTATCTGTATCTATGTATCATCTCTCTCTCTCTCTATTACCTCTCTGTCTGCCTGTCAGTCTCTATGTATCATCTATGTATCTATATATTTATATATGTGTCTTCTATCTATCTATCTTCATCATCATCATCATCATCATCTCTATGTATCATCTATCAATCATCATCTATGTATCTATAACCTATCCATTATCTATCATCTACCTATTTATCATCTATCTATATCTATCTATCCATCTATCATCTGTCTCTCTCCATCTCCTTGTCTTTCTCTGCCTCTCAGTCTCTCTAGTTCTATTTGGAATCTCTGCAATCCATCCCCACATCTTTATCTTTCTCTGTCTTTGTGCCCCTCCCTCAGGGTTCTGATTTTGGGGCTTTTCTCTCCTCCCTTCCAGCATTCTCTCCACTCCTCTGCCCTCTTTTCTTTCTTTTTGTGTGTCTGTGAGTCTCTCAATCCCCTTCCTCTGGCTCATTCTCTGTGTGTTTATGCCTTTGCTTTTTGAAGTCCCTGATTTATCTCTGTGTCTCTCAGTGATCCTATTATATGTAGGATTATTTGGAATATGAGCCTCAGAATCTAGTCTGGGGACACCAAGTACACACAGTATTTAGGGGTTGGTGTTCTGGGGCCATGATATCCTGGGATAATTATGGCTCCACTGCATGGAAGGCAGAGGTGTCAGAATAAACATGGCATCTGTAGATGCCACAAGGCCTGAGGCCACAGGGCCCAACTCAGGTCAGAAATATGGGTGTCCTTGGGTTCTCCTCGTAGAAGCACTTTGTGGAGACAAAACAGAAATGAAACTTCTAACCTGTGCCAGGTCTCTGAGCAAAGTCAGCATGGAAGGACACTTCTCTCTGGCACATGTCTGTCTGTCTGAGTGTCTCCTTTACCTCTTTCTCTCTTTTCTACTTCCCCGTATGGCCCCTGTGTCTGTCCTCTGTTATGACACCTGGTCTGTACTTATGTCTCCTGTTTCCCTGTCTCTGTTGGTACAGACCTCACCGAGTCAGTCTCTCTCCATAAGAATCTCACGCTTATCTTCCTCATGACCACCTGGGGGTTCCAAGTCCTGGATCATTCACTCTGTGTCCCAATGACAATGAGAAGAATGTCTGGACACTCTCACCTGTGATCACGATGTCCAGGGGGTCACTGGGAGCTGACAACTGATAGGGGGAGTGAGGAACAGAACCATAACATCTGTAGGTTCCTGCAAGGACAGGCATCAAGGGACCGATGGAGAAGTTGGCCTTGGAGACCCCATCATGGATCTGTCCAACGAGGCGTGAGGGGTCCTCAGAGATCCCCTCTCTGTGCAGAAAGAAGTGCTCAAACATGACATCTGACCAACATTGCAGGATGACTGTCTCTCCTGATTTCAGCAGGGGCCCTGGGTGGGCCAGGAGGGAAGGTTTTCTGTGGTTTCCTAGAAAGAGAAGTTGTGAGTTTAGAAGGCATCTCTCTTTATCATCCCATCCATGGCACCTGGAATGAGTGAGGGTTCCCCTCCCAGAGGTCTGTCTCTCTCCTCCCTCTCTGTGTCTCCGTGTCTTTTCTGTGCCCATATCCCCTGGTGCAGGTCCCTCCATTTGTCTTCCTCCCTCTTCTCTGTCCCTCTGTCTCCAGTAGCCCCTGACTCCCTTCCCACTGTGAAGAGAGCCTCATCTCTTGGGCTGTTGTATCTCTTTCCCACTAGTCTCTTTCCTGCTGTCTATGTGGGGGTGGAAGAGGACAGGCTGCATGTCCAGGCTCTCAGCAGCCTGAATCAATCTCTTTTGAACAAATTGGAGTCTCTGGCAGAGGTATCAACTCATCAGTAAGGCAGACATCAGTGTCCACACACCCTGTTCCTGATGGGGATTGGGAGCCTCTCCTGCCATGTCTGTGCCTTCTCCATGGCCCCAGCTTCCATAGGGTGGTCCCTGGTGCTGGTTCCAGGAGCATCAACCCCTTCCTATGTGGATGGAGCCTGGTGGTGGCATCAGCATCCCACCCTTGCTGATCCCACGGTAGCCAACCTTCTCCTTGTTTGGTTTCTTTAATTAATTGATTAATTAATTTATTTTTGAGACAGTCACTTTTTCACCCAGGCTGGAGTGCAGTGGTGTTGTCTTGGCTCACTGCAACCTCTGCCTCCCCGGTTCAAGTGATTCTCTTGCCTCAGCCTCCCCAGTCGTTGGATTACTCGTGCCCACCACCACACCTGGCTATCCTTGTTTGGTTTCCTAGCTTGTCCTTGACCTGGGTTCCTGTGTCGGTTTCCTGTTGCTGCTGCAGAAAATTATCACAAACATGGCAGCAGGAGAGAACACACTGACCCCTTCCACTTCTGGGGACAGAAATTGGATCCAGTTCTCCCTGTGCTGAAATCAAGGCATCTGCAGGGCTGCGTTCCCTCTGGAGACTCAGCGAATCAGTTCTCTTGACTTCTCCAGCCCTTAGAGGCCACCTGCATTCTGTGACTAGTGGCCTTCCTCCACCTTCAAAGCCCACAGTGGCTGATAGCGTCTCCCTCCCACTACACTGCTCTAATCCCCACTCCCCTCTTCCTCCACCTCTCACGCGGACCCTTGTGATTACACTGAGCCCAGCAGGACAGTCCAGGCTGTCTCCCCATCTCAAGGTCAACTCATCAACAACCTGAGCTCCACCTTCCCCTTCAGTCCCCTGCCCTATAACATAAATAGTCACAGGCTCCAGGGTTTACAATGTAGCCATCATTGGCGACAGTGATTCTTCCCACCACAGCGCCCATTTCCCCTGTATTCAATCCCCCTTGACCCCAAATACAGTTGGGGCCTGGGTGATGGGACCCTGATGGACACCCCCACCAGAAGCTCTGGGATTCAGGAGGTGGGACAGTGAGAAGCCCAGACAGAAAGCCTCTGACCTGTGACCATGATCACCAGGGGGTTGCTGGGTGTCGACCACCCAGTGAGGGAGTGTGGGCGTGAACCCCGACATCTGTAGGTCCCTGCATGTGCTGGGGTCACAGGGCCCATGATGAAGCTCTCCTGGAATATTCTGCCGTGGAAGATGGGAACGTGGCTTCTGTCTTCTTTGTACAGCATGAAATTGTTAAACCCACGACGATAGTGACACTGAAGAGCCACGTGTCCTCCTCGAGGCACCACAGTGCTGGGCCGGGCAGACAGGAAGGGTTTGTCCTGACCACCTGGGGGAGAAGGAGGCACTGCCTTAGAGAGGAGGATGTGGAGCCACCCCTCCCTCCCTGTGCTCAGAAGATTCTCCCATTTCCACTTTCTAAGGCTCCTACCACACCTGGGTGCCCAGGGCTACAGGAAGGACCCACCCCACATAGACATGGCGTCTCCCTACAACAAGTGTCAGCTGAGAACTTTGAGCAAGTGCTGAATAAGTGACTCTTACTAGATTTTAATACTGCAAAATTACTCACATAAAACAACACAAAGTAGACACGGCATGGAGGGCATGTCCTATGTGAATGGAATATCAGCCAATTCATGAACTGAGCCCCCTCAGAGGATTTGGAATGTCAGGGCCATGGCTGTGGTTTCCCCCCTCTTCTGGTAGAAAGACCGCAGCCACACTGCAGTCCCTACCGTCACGGAAACGCTGGAGGGTGTCAGTTATACCTTTGTCCTCAGAGGACCTGCTGTTCCTAGCACTGCTTCCCTCTCTTTCTCTGCTGCTGACACCACTTCCTCCCTGCACACCCCAGCTTGGAGCACCCCAGTCTCACCCCAGTCTTCACAGAGCTTGACTCAGGAAAGGGAAAGAAAGGCCGGGGAGGGCGAGGTCAGAAATGTGGGCCGAGTATCCAAGGGTCCCCTCTTCCTAGTTTATGAGAGACTCCCCGACAGGACTTCCCTCCTGTTTCAGAAAAATCCTCTTATGTGGGGAGATGACACCCTAAGGTTTGGGGAAGGACTCACCCATGAGTGGCCAGGCCCCCTGCAGCAAGAAGAACCCTGGAAAGAAAGATCATGATAGACGATCCAACTGCAGGCAAACCAGGGCACCCTGCTGCCCCCACTGCACTGTGTGTCTTGGCAGCCAGGCCCTTGCTGGGCTGAAGGTAAACTTAGCCTCCCTGCTACCTGCTGCCAAGAACAGGGCTCTCAGCTGTGGAGAGACCCAGGCTCCAGGCCCAGATCAACACTTCCTGGCCCAGATCTCCACTCCAGGCCCATATCTCCACTCCAGGCCCCTATCTCCACTCCAGGCCCATATCTCCACATCAGACCCATATCTCCACTCCAGGCCCATATCTCCACATCAGACCCATATCTCCACTCCAGGCCCAGATCTCCCCTCTAGGCCCATATCTCCACTCCAGGCCCATATCTCCACTCCAGGCCCATATCTCCACATCAGACCCATATCTCCACTCCAGGCCCATATCTCCACTCCAGGCCCAGATCTCCACCTGCAGGCCCATATCTCCACTCCAGGCCCATATCTCCACTCCAGGCCCGTATCTCCACTCCAGGCCCATATCTCCACACCCAGGCCCATATCTCCCCTCCAGGCCCATATCTCCACTCCAGGCCCATATTTACACCTCCAGGCCCATATCTCCACACCCAGGCCCATATCTCCACTCCAGGCCCATATCTCCACTCCAGGCCCATATCTTTACCTCTAGGCCGAGATCTCCATCCCCACTCTCCCTCCCTCTATTCCCTTCCAGGACTCACCAACGCACGCCATGCTGACGACAGTGAGCGACATGGTGCTGCCGGTGCAGACAGGAGGCCGCGCCCCAGCTCAGCTCAGCAGCGCACAGGATGTTATTTGGCGCCCTGCCCATGCAGTTTACATGTTGACCACATCATGGGAGGGTGACGTACGCAGGCTCTTTCTACCTTGCATGAGGCCCAGTGGGTGCTCGCTCAAGAGCGGAACATGGCTTCCTGGAAATTGTTGTGACTACAATTGCCACCTTGCATCCTTCACTATGACCAGACTCAAAAGACGTCTCAGATCCAACCTCTCACACATGAGGTGATTGAATTCTGTGCTTACATTAAAGACTTTTGATGTATTTTTGTTTTTATCTGAGATTCAAACTTTTCTTCATGTGTAATGTGCAAAATATCTAAGAGGTATTATTAACATTATCAGAGTAATTGTGACAAAAAGCCATTCTAATTTTCCTGATGAGTTTCTAGTACTAAACCTGAGGCACGAGAATTGCTTGAACCTGGGAGGCGGAGGCTGCAGTGAGCTGAGCTCAAGCCACTGAACTCCAGCTTGGGTGACAGAGGAAGAGTCTGTCTCAAGAAAGAAAAAAAAAAGCAAACTAAATAACCTATAATAACAAATCAGAGAACTCAGGTTACCAAATTTTAAGGGGTTCTATAAGTTTATATGAAATGCAGCATCCTCATGAGAGGGGATACAGAGAACCACTGGGCAGAAAACTGTGTCTAAAATACATCTGTGGATACACAGTCCCTTCATAGTTGACAAAGGCTGCCATGTAGTTTAAGGTGGAATAGAATATTTTCTCAATAAATAACACAGGACCATAGGGTTACACGTAGGAAAAAATAAATCTAAACTTATCCTCACACTATAAAAACACTTCTTATTTTTTATCTTGTTGTTGTAAACTTTTTATGCTTTATTTTTAAGATTGACAAATAAAAATTATATACTGTGGTCCTTCACTATTCCTGGGTGATTGGTTCCAGGATCCCCATTCAGATACCAAAATCTGCAGATGCTCAAGCCCCTTGCATGAAATGGCATAGCGAAGCTGGGCACCGTGGCTCACGCCTGTAATCCCAGCACTTTGGGAGGCTGAGTTGGGTAGATCACGAGGTCAGGAGTTCAAGACCAGCTGGTCCAACATTCTGAAACCCCATCTCTACTAAAAATACACACACAAAAAAATTTATCTGTGCATGGTGGCACGTGCCTGTAATCCTAGGGGAGGCTACTGGGGAGGCTGAGGGAAGACAATCGCTTGAACCTGGGAGGCGGAGGTTGCAGTGAGCTGAGATCATGCCACTGCACTCCAGCCTGGGTGAGAGAGTGAGACTGTCTCAAAAAAAAAAAATAGCATAGTAATTGCATAGAACCCATGCACATCCTCCTGTATACATGAAATCATCTCTTGATTACTTATAATTCCTGACACAGCCTACACGCCACTCAATTTGTGTCGATTCAACATAGTTTTTTGCTTCTTGAAACTTCGGGGATTTTTTTCTGAAAACATTTTTGATTTATTGTTGGTTCAATAAACACCTGTAAACCCCACAGATATGGAGGACCGACTGTATATTTATATTATGAAAGATGATATGTTGATATGTGTCCCCGTGGAGATGAGGCTAACAAGGCCTATGACTCTACAAATGTTTCATCGTGGAATGACTCTGCCAGCTTTCCAGGTCTGCAGAGAGTAAGAATATCACTTGTTCATGTGATTCACGATCCTTGGAGCCTCCTATGTGCTGTATCTTTGGATGGAAATTGGAGTCTCAGAGACAAATCAGGCTCCATTCTGCTTCCAGAAGCTCAGAGTCCAGGGCTGAGAACCCAATGGAGAACAGATGGGGTTATGTGGACATGGTAATGATAACACCGGAAGCCTTAGGCAAGAAAAGAGTCTCGTTACCGAAACCATGAGGGCAGACATGTTTATTTGAAGGCGGGAAAACTACATTGAAATTATTTAAAAAATTTATAAGTTTTACTGCTGGCAGAAGGCTGAAAGATAGTCTGAAGGGAGGTGGAACAGCACGTGTCTAAGTGCTGTGTTAAGAGGCAGCCTCTTGTATGTTTGGAATTGTGAGTTCCTCAGTGTGATTGCAGCCTCAGGTAGACTAGGAAGTAAGCCAGTTAGGTTGGAGAGGTGGGCAGGGGTCAAGTGAAATGGAGAATTGTGGGCTAAGCAAAGGAGTGTGTTTTCTCTCCAGCAGGCAGTGGGGACCTTAGACATTTGTAAGCAAGAGAGAGGCATGTTCAGATTCGTGGTGTGAGGAAGAGCGATGCCCTAAGATGAAGACTGATGCCTTCAGATTCCAGCTGCTGGTACATGGGAGCTGGCAACCCGGTTTTGAGACAGGGCTGTTGTCTCCCTAGAAGATCCCCTCAAGGCCTGACTGTGGTGCTCGTGGACAGAAGACAACTTTGGATCTGGGCTCAGCATTTGGAAGTTCTATGTACATGCTGGTATCTGTTGGGGGTGTCTTGGGCCTCTCAGAAGGGCGAGTGATTTTTCTCTGTGTGAAAACACAGTGATCCAATTATGCGTATGACACCTCCTGATGGTCTTGTTCATCAGAATCCTGGAGAGAGGGAAATGCTGAGTGAGGGAGGGTGCTCACATTTTTCAGGACTCTTTGGGAATAAGACTAGCCACGAGGCTGGGCCGAGGAGCACCTACCTCGCTGTTCACTGTTCTGTTCCCTGCAGGCTCTTGGTCCATTACAGCAGCATCTGTAGAAGACGGAAGTCAACAAAAGAGCTCGGAGGGCACTTCTGGGTCCTCATTTCATAAGCAGATACCAACAAACAGGGGGAGGCCATAGGTGCCTGAGGTCCCTCAGTTGCCAACAGCAGACTCAGACATTCTATCTCTCTGAGTTCAAGGACCCATCCCATGAATAGCTCTGAGGTCCCATCCCATTGATTCTATCTCCCACTTTCTGCCTGTCATGGAACCTTCTCCTGGATGTGAGTGGCTGCAGGGGACGTGAGGATACAGTTCAGAATCAGGCAATGGTCTGTGAGCTGAAGGCAGGGGAAGGGAATCTGGTGCTCTCTCTAGAAAGTCCTGCCTCTGTGGCTCCTGTCTTGGGCCAGGGACCATCCTGCTGGTGAGGAACACACATCCGCGTGCTCCCATCCTGCTTCCCCACATGGCCCTGAGCTCTCTGGCCTCTGCTTCGTGAGACTTACTTTTTTTGTCGGAGCACCAGCGATGAAGGAGAAAGAAGAGGAGGATGGTGAAAGGGATTTTGACCACTGAGGTCCCAATCAGAACATGTAGGTGTCTGGGGTTACCTGGAAGAAGAGGAGACACCAATAAGAAGCTAATCATAGCAGTTCCTCTTTATGAATTGTCTCGCATTTCTTGATTGGCAGGTAACCACATACAACGTCTCTTTAGGACAAGCACCCAAATGGCGGGAGACCTAGCTTTCCCCTGCTTTCTCAATTATAGCTCTCATAGTAACCATAGAACGTGCTGAGGATACAACTACTTTAGTTGAGATGTTTGACCCTTTCAAACCTCACATTGAAATTTCACCCCCATTGTGGGAGGTTGGGCCTCTTCAGAGGTGTTTGGGTCATGGAGGTGGATCCATCATGAACAGACCAATGCTGTCCCAAGGAGACGGGGTTAGCAAGTTCCCCCTCTGTTAGTTCCTGGAGAGCTGGTTGTTAAAAAGAGCTTGGAAGCTCCATCGCTCCCTCTCCCCCTTACTCTCTCTCTTGCCGTGTGATCTCTGCGGTCTCTGCACAGACAGACCCTCCTTCCCTTCTGCCAGAGTGGGAGCAGCCTGAGGCCATCACGAGAAATAGATTCTGGTGCCATGCTTCCAGTACAGCCTGCAGAACTGTGAGGCAAACCAATCTCTTTTCTTTAGAAGTTACCCAGGCTCAAGTGTTCCTTTAGAGCAACAAAAATGGACTAAGATAGCAACATCCTGAGATCAGGAGGAATGTCTCAGAACAGCCTGGGCTGTCTTCCTGTTCTTCCTGGAGGAGGACGTCATGCAGTGCTTTAGCTGAGTGCTTCCTGTGGCTCCAGGGTACAAAACCCAGGCTGGGCTGCTTTCTGGCTTCCCCCAGTTACACTGCAAATGGGGTGACTCCATATGTCCCGAGCAGCTTTTCTGAGCCTTGAGGGACTGGCTCACATTGAAATGCAGGCTTCTGTTGTCACTCACTGCTTATCTGTTAGTAATGAACCTGCCTATGTAACGTATTCTCTGTGTGTTCTGTCTCCCTGGAGTGACGGTGAGTGATAGGAATTGGCATAGGCCCAGGTGCAGTCCAGGATTTGTTTAGAGTCTTCTCTGGGAAGACTGCACTGGGATTGATACACAGCGAATGTGCTTTAGGATTTCTACATCCACAGCATTCTTGAGTCAAACAAATTGCATTCACCAAGGAAAGGAAACAAAGGTGAAATCACGATTAAAAATAGCGAAGCAAGATTCTCTTATGTCAAACAGCCAGAAAATAGTGTTGAAGCCCGTGTGAAATGTGCTGCTCTTTGTGATCTCGGGAGACACATGTTAGGCTGCTGTTCTACCCGAGAGGCTGGGGGAAGGACCACCCCCTCCACCATCTATTGCTTCAATACCACCTGTCCTCCTGTGAATTAGTAGGAAAGGGGAACAGGAGCTAGTGCTGTCGCTGATCTCTGATTCCAAGATCTGGACTCACTCCAAGGAGTATTAATGTTTCCTCCCCATGGTCTATCTGAATCTCCACAGGTGATTGGAAGTAGGGGTGAGGTGGGGGATTTGGGTGAGTGGGCAAGTTTTTTTTTGCGATGAACAGAGCACTTTCTCTATTCCAGGATCCGTGCTGGAGGATTCAGCGGGCTTTCACATTTTCTATGTGATCTCATGCTCACAGAAAGCCAAATAGGGAAGAGGTTTTAGGCTCATTGCCTAATGGATAAGATAAAGGATCAAAGAAGTAATTATAGAGAAATAGAAAAATGATGATTGGAATTCAGGTGCCTTTGTCATTCGTGTGTGTTTTATTATATTTATGCATTTCTTATTTTTATTTTTTGAGACGGAGTCTCCTTGTGTCACCCAGGCTGGAGTGCAGTGATGCAATCTCCACTCACTGCAACCTCCACCTCCTGGGTTGAAGTCATTCTCCTGCTTCATCCTCCAGAGTAGGAGCTGGGATTACAGGGATGCACCACCATGCTCGGCTAATTTTTGTATTTTTAGTACAGATAGGGTTTCACCATGTTGGCCAGGCTGGTCTGGAACTCCTGACTTCATGGAATCCACCCGCCTTGGCCTCCTGCAGTGCTGGGTTACAAGCGTGAGCCACCGTTCACAGACTTGTATATTACGCTATAATAGGTCTCTTCATTTCCACCACCCCTCATATATCTGTCACTCCTTTGCCAGGTATTGATTTATGTGTAGGATGAATAAATCTCAGAAAGAAATTAATTAAGCGAGGATTAAACAAGTAGGAAAATCAAACCCAGCAAGCCTTTCCAGCCAATGATTCTACCTCACAAGCATAGCTTATATCCATCTGCTTCATCCACTTAGTGTCAAAATCAGCACCACATTTCACCAGTGGGTCGGGAATTGCCTTTTCCACGGTCTCCTAGATTCCAGTTACGCCCCTGGGCCTCCTTTATTTTCATGTCAGTCATATTAATCATGTAGGGATTCCTGGTTACCCCGAGGTGAATCCAATGGCTGTGAGTGTCAAACACACACTCCTTGTTGCTCCTTAGTTTCCTGTGTACCCAGTGTGCTCTCCGTCTCTCCACAGTCGTCTTGTCATTCTCCCCACCTCATTCCCAGCATTTGAGGAAGAGCCTCTTCCTTCCACATCAGATTGTTTTCACCTTTGTGCCTTCACGGCTGACAGCTGTGTGTGCAAAATCCTTCCGCCAATCTTTCAGGGGTTCAATCCGTGTTTTTCATTAATGTCACAAATATCTGAATAGTGAGACCTTCTTTGTCACCTGAAATCATACACTCAGCATTATCTATTATTGATTTTGAATTCTGGCTGGGCACAGTGGCTCACGCCTGTAGTCCCATTACTTTGGCATGCTGAGACGGTCGGATCACTTGAGGTTGGGAGTTTCAGACAAGCTTGGCCAACGTGGTGAAACATCCTCTCTACAAAAAATATACAAAAAGAATTAGCCGGGCACGGTGGCAGTTGCCTGTAATCCCAGCTACTCGAGAGGCGGAGGCAGGAGAATCACTTGAATCCAGGAGAAGCAGGTTGCAGTGAGCCAAGATCGTGACACTGCACTGTAGCCTGGAAGACAGAGGGCAACTCTGTCTCAATAAACAAAAGAACAAACAAAAAATAGATTTCATGCACAGATGCTTCCCAATGGATCATTCATTTATAGATCCACTTGTGCATTCATTTTCTGCCCTCCCATTTAACCATCTGCAATATCAGTGTCCCAAGGGCAGAGGCCAAATGCATCTTGTTCACTGTTTGTGGAAGGCAGGAGAATGCTGTCCCACCCCAAAATGTCCCTGTCCTAGCCTCCATAGCTTGTGAATATGTTATTTTACATGGAAAGGAGGAATGAAGATTGCAGATGGAATTATGGTTACTAATCAGCTGAACTTAAAACAAGGGTATCCTGGATGATTTCCAGGAGATTATGAGGGATTTTCATCTTGGTGAACCCAATAGAATCCCCAAGTTTTCAAAAGATGAGGAAGAAGGGAGAGCAGCATTCAGAGAAAGAAGTGTGGTAAGGAAGAAGGCACTGAGTGATGCCATGTGAGATGTGACCAGTCTTTGTGGGCTTTGAGGAAGGAGGAAGGGGACCAGGAGCCAAGGAACTGGGAGCCTTTAGAAGCTGGGACAAGTGAGAAGCAGATTCGTGCCTGGAATCCTCAGAGGGAAGGCAGCCTTGCTGTCACCTTGATTTTAGCCCAGTAAGATGCACTTCCTACTTTGAGCTACAGCACTGTAAGATAATTAAAAAACCGTTTTGTTTTCACCCACGAATCTTGTGGAAATTTGTTATGGCAACAATAGGAAAAGGTTCCGCACTGCACAGCCTGAGCATGGGGCCGTGGCTGAATGAGTCAGTGAGTCGAAGTGTGTGTGCATGAGCTCTGTTCTCTGTTACGGCAAGGCTCTTGCTCTGCTGAGTCAGCCAGGGTTGCTTCATGACCTACAGGAGCTCATTCCTTGGCAAGTGGAACTTCTCTAAAACACCTCGCCCTCATCAGATGTTCCCTTCCCTTCCCTCTCTCAAGTCTCCAGGAATTTATCCTCCAGTTAGGAATGCAGGCAGAACAAACATTGCATTTTTCCTGAGAAGGATGTCAGATTGGCAATCATTCTTCTAGCTTGTAGGAGGTCTCAGCTCCATAAAATGAGAGATGAAGAGATTTCACTGAGCCCTGTGTTGGGCCCAGATCCCTTTCGCTGTAGGAGTATCTGGAGTTCGGAGATGGTGGAAGACAGGTGTACAATGTCAGAGCTGTGAGATGCTGAGTCAACGCCTGAATCCAAGGTTTCCACCTCCCCAGGTTTCCAAAAGCGGATATAAGAGGGTTCTGTACTCACCGGTTTCGGAGCTTGGTTCAGTGGGTGAAGGCCAACTATTTGAAGGGTTTCCTAGAACATGAGACAGGAGAGAGGTGAGGAAATGAGGGTTTCTGTCCTCCACTCAGTGGAAATCTTTGAGGATGGTTCATGGCCAACACTCTGTTATCTAATATTGGGCCCTGGGAGTCCTGGGATCCTTTTTTCCATAATTTTTTTATGTGACACCCACTGTCTTGAGACTTCAAGGTATAAAGAGAAAACAGGAGCATCACACTACCTGATCTCAAAATATGTTACAGAGCTGTAGTAAGCAAAATAGCATGACACTGGCATAAAGAAAGGCACATAGAACAACGGAGCAGAATGAATAACACAGATATATTCCATGCATTTACATCCAATGGTTTTTTATTTTTTCTTTTGAGATGGAGTCTTGCTCTGTCACTCAGGCTGGAGTGCAAAGGTGCAATCTCGGTTCACTGCAACCTCAGCCTCCTGGGTTCAATCATTCTCTTGCCTCAAACTCCTGAGTAGTGGTATTACAGGTGCTGACCACCATGCTCAGCTAATTTTTATATTTTTAGTGGAGATGATGTTTCATCACGTCGGCCAGACTAATCTTGAACTCCTGGCCTCAGGTGATCCACCCACCTCGGGCTCCCAAAGTGCTGAAATTGCAGGTGTTAGCCACCAAGCCCAGCCCATCCAATGGACTTTGACAAAGATGCCAAGAACTCACAATCAGGAAAGGACAGTCTTTTCAATAAACAGTGCAGGGAAACCTGGACATCTACATGCAGAGGAATGAAACTGCACCTCTACCTGTCACCATACACAAAAATCAAATGAAAATGGATTAAAGATGTGAGTCTAAGGCCTGAACCTATGAAACACGTAGAACAAAATATTGGGGAAATGCTCCAGGACATTTGTCTGAAGAAAGACATTTTGTTTTAAACCTTGAAAACACAAGTAATCGAAGCAAAAATAGACCATTGGGATTACCTCATACTAAGCAACTTCTGCACCGCTAAAAATAAACCAACAAAGTGAAGAGACAACCCACAGATTGGGAGCAAATATGTGCAAACTATGCATCTGAGATGGGATTAATAACTAGAAATATAAGAAGCTCAAACAACTCAATAAAACAAATGATTTAATTGAAAAAGGAGCAAAAGACATGAAATTTCCCCACATACGAAAAACTGCTCAGTATCACTCATCATCAGAGAAACGCAAATTAAATTCAAAGTGAGTTTTCATCTCACCCCATTAAAATGGCTTTTAGGCCGGGTGAGGTGGCTCACGTTTGTCATCCTAGAACTTTGAGAGCCTGAGGTGGGTGAATCTCATAAGGTCGGGAGTTTGAGACCAGTATGACCCACATAGAGAAACACTGTCTCTACTAAAAATACAAAAATTAGTCGGGCGTGGTGGCGTGTGCCTGTAATTCCAGCTACTCGGGAGGCTGAGGCAGGAGAATCGCTTGAACCTGGGAGGTGGAGGTTGTGGTGAGCCGAGATCGCGCCACTGCACTCCAGCCTGGGTGAGAAGAGCAAAACTCCATCTCAAAATAAAATGAAATAAAATAAAATGGCTTTTAGCTGCAAGACAGGCAAAAGAAATGCTGGCAAGGTGGTAGAGAAAGGAGAACCCTGGTACCCTGTTGGGAGGAGTGTAAATTAGTACAGCCATTACGGAGAAAAGTATGGAAGTCCTTTAAAGAACTAAAAAGAGGTTGGGTGCGGTGGATCATGCCTGTAATCCCGGCACTTTGGGAGACTGAGGCGGGCACCTCAGTTGAGGTCATGAGTTTGAGAGCAGCCCAGCCAACATGGGGAAACCCCATCTATACTAAAAAAACCAAAAAGTAGCCAGGCATGGTGGTGTGCACCTGTAATCCCAGCTACTAGGGAGGCTGAGGCAGGAAAATCATTTGAACCCAGGAGGCGTAGGTTGCAATGAGCCAAGGTCGCACCACTTTGACTCCAGCTTGGGCTAAGGAGGGAAACTCTTTCTCAAAAAAGAAAAAAAGAAAAAAAGAGAACTTTCATAGTATCCAGCAATTTCACTACTGGGTTTATATCCAAAGGAAAGTAAATCAATATATCGAAGTGATATCTGCACTCGTATGATTGGTGCAGCACTGTTCACAGTAGCCAAGATGAGGAGTCAACCTACCTGCCCATCAGTGGGTAAATGGATAGAGAGAATGTAGTACATACGCATAGTGGAGACTACTCATCCATAGAAAGAATAACATCCTGTCATTTGCAGCCACATGGATGGAACTGGAGGTCATTACAAAGATTCCCATTTCTCACCCATATACAGGAGCTAAAAGGTGGATCTCATGAAGGTAGAGAGTAGAATGGTGGCTACTGGAGGACAGGAAGAAAAGGGTGGAGGGTAAAAAAAATGTATATATATATATATGTATATAAATGTATTTATGACCACTAGACTTTACACTTAAAAATGGTAAATGTGGCTGGGCGCGGTGGCCCATGCCTGTAATCCCAGCACTTTGGGAGGCAGATGCGGGTGGATCACTTGGTCAGGAGTTCGAGACCAGCTCGACCAACATGGTGAAACCACCTCCCTACTAAAAATACAAAAAGTAGCCTGGCGTGGTGGTGCGTGCCTGTAGCACCAGCTACTCAGGTGGCTGAGGCAGGAGAATCGCTTGAACCCAGGAGGTGGAGGTTGCAGTGAGCTGAGATTGTGCCACTGCACTCCAGCATAGGGGACACAGCTAGACTCCACCTCAAAAAAAAATGTTAAAAGTGGTAAGCTATATAGGTATATTTATCCTCAATAAATATTTCTTCAAAGAAAAGTAAAGGGTGTAGGGGTTGCTGGTGATGACATCTCTGTGTGGGTGAGAGGCCAGGATGGGCTTCTGGGAAATGGGTAAGGTTGAGGGGCTGAGGGAACCTCTGATCTCCCCAAACTGAGCCCAGTCTCCCTCCTCTGGGTCTCTCCTGACCGCTTTCTCCATCTGCCTGGGTGCCTGGAGCCCTGGCCGTGGGCCTCCATGCAGGCCATGTAGGAGGGTTTGGAGGTGCCCTGTCGGCCATCCTGTGCCCTGATCCCTCCCTCACACCGAGGCTGCGTCTTCTCTCTGCATCTGTCCATGCTTCTCTCCATCATCAGCAGGAAGCTCCTCAGCTAAGGCTCTAGGATCATAGGACATGGGACAGCCATGGGCTTTCCTCACCTGTGACAGAAACAAGCAGTGGGTCACTTGACTTTGACCACTCGTATGGAGAGTCACGGAAAGAGCCGAAGCATCTGTAGGTCCCTCCATGGGTGGCAGGGCCCAGAGGAAAGTTGGCCTGGAATGTTCCGTTGACCTTGGTCCCTGCAGGGAGCCTACGTTCATGGGCCTCCCCTTCCCTGGATAGATGGTACATGTCATAGGAGCTCCGGGAGCTGCAGGACAAGGTCACATTCTCTCCTGCCAGAACCGTGGGGCCCGGCTGGGCTGAGAGAGAAGGTTTCTCATATAGACCTGGAAGGAGAAGAGGCAGTTTCCTCAGGGAGGATCTTCCTTGTCACAGCTCCCTTCACCTGAGCTGAGAACTCACTCCCCTGCTCTATGACCTAATGCTCTCTCTCTCTCTCTCTCACCCTCTACCCCATCGCTCTTCATGTCTATTTCCTCCTTCCACCTTCTCTGTCTCTTTAGGTCTCTGACCTCACTTCCCCACCTCTAGATATGTTTTCTCTTTTTGGATTGTTTTATTCTCTCTGACTCTCCTTGGATTGGTTGACTTGATGTTACTTTTTTTAATTCTGAGTTTCTCACTTTGTGTCCTGTTCATAACTTTCTGCATATTTCTATCTATTATCTATCGATCTATCTATTTATCTATTCGGTGCCTATCTACAAATTCTCTACCTGTCATCTATATCTATATATCATCTATTTATCCATCAATTGTCTATCTATCCATCAATCATCTATTATCTATATCTATGTATCATCTCTCTCTCTCTATGATTTCTCTATGTCTGCCTCTGTATCTCTATGTATTATCTATCTATCTGTCTTCATCATCATCATCTCTATGTCTCATCTATTAATGAATCAATCAATCATCATCTATGTATCTATAACCTATTATCTATCATCTACCTATTTATCATCTATCTATATCTATCCATCTATCATCTGTCTTGCTCTGCCTCTCGGTCTCTCTAGTTCTCTTTGGAATCTCTGCAATTCATCCCCACATCTCCATCTTTCAATGTCCTTGTGCCTCTCCCTCAGGAGTCTAATTTTAGTGCTTTTCTCTGCTCCCTTCCATCATTCTCACTTCTCTGCCCTCTTTTCTCTTTATGTGTCTGTGAGTCTCTCAATCTCCTTCCTCTGGCTCATTCTCTGTGTGTTTATGTCTTTGCTTTTTGGTGTCCCTGATTTCTCTCTGTGCCTCTCACTGATCCTCTCATAAGTGGGCTTATTTGGAATATGAGCCTCAGAATCCAGTCTGGAGACTACAAGTTCACACAGCATACAGGGGTTGGTGTTGTGGGGCCATGATATCCTGGGACGATTACTCTCCATTACATGGAAGGCAGAGGTGTCAGAATAAACATGGCATCTGTAGGTGCCACAAGGCCTGAGGCCACAGGGCCCAACTCAGGTCAGAAATATGGGTGTCCTTGGGTTCTCCTGGTAGAGAACACTTTGTGGAGGTAAAACAGAAATGAAACTTCTAACCTGTGCCAGGTCTCTGAGCAAAGTCAGCATGGAGGGACACCTCTCTCTGGGACATGTCTGTCTGTGTGTTTCCTTTAACTCTTTCTGTCTTTTCAAACTCCCGGTATGGCCCCTGTGTCTGTTCTCTGTTATGACACCTGGTCTCTACTTGTGTCTCCTGTTTCTCTGTCTCTGTTGGCACAGACCTCACCAAGTCAGTCTCTCTCCATAAGAATACCAAGCTCATCTTCCTTACAGCCACCTGGGCCTCCAAGTCCTGGATCATTCACTCTGCATCCCAATGACAATGAGAAGAAAGTCTGGACACTCTCACCTATGATCACGATGTCCAGAGGGTCACTGGGAGCTGACAACTGATAGGGGGAGTGAGTAACAGAACCGTAGCATCTGTAGGTCCCTGCCAGGTCTTGCTTCATGCGACTGATGGAGAAGTTGGCCTTGGAGACCCCATCATGGTGTTCTCCAATGAGGCGCAAAGTGTCGTTAAACATCCCCTCTCTGTGCAGAAGGAAGTGTTCAAACATGACATCTGACCAACATTGCAGGATGACTGTCTCTTCTGATTTCACCAGGCGACCTGGGTGGGCCAGGAGGGAAGGTTTTCTGTGGACTCCTAGGAAGAGAGGTTGTGAGTTTAGAAGGTGTCTCTCTTTATCATCCCATCCATGGCACCTGGATTGAGTCAGGCTTCCCCTTCCTGGTGTCTTATCTCTCTCCTTCCTCTCTGTGTCTTCATGTTCTTTTCTGTGCCCATAACTCCTGGTGCAGGTCCTTCCATCTGTCTCCCTCACTCTTCTCTGTCCCTCTGTCTCTAGTAGCCTCTGATTCCCTTGCCGCTGGGCTCAGCCTCATCTCTTGGGCTGTTGTATCTATTTCGAACTAATGTCTTTCCTGCTGTCTGTGTGGGGGTGGAAGAGGAACCAGGATAGGCTGCACATCCAGGCTCTTAGCAGCCTGGTTCAATCTCTTTTGGACGAATTGGAATCCTTGGCAGGAGGTATGAACTGATCAGTAAGGCAGGCACCAGTGGCCACACACCCTGTTCCTGGTAGGGACTGGGAGACACTCTTGCCATGCCAGTGCCAGCTTCCATAGCCTGGCTCCTGGTGCTGGTTGGAGGAGTATCAACCGCTCCCTATGTGGATGGAGCCTGGTGGTGGCATCATCATCCGAGCCTTGCTGATCTCAGTGTAGCCAACCTTCTCCTTGTTTGGTTTCTTTAATTAATTAATTAATTTTGGCGACAGAGTCTCACTCCTTTGCCCAGGCTGGAGTGAAGTGGTGTGGTCTAGGCTTACTGCAACCTCTGTCTCCTGGGTTCAAGTGATTCTCCTGCCCTCAGCCTCCCAAGTCGCTAGGATTACATGCACCTGCCACCATGCCTGGCTATCCTTGTGTTGTTTCTTAACTTGTCCTTGACCTGGGTTCCAGTGTTGGTTTCCTGTTGCTGCTGTAGAAAATTATCAGAAGCATGGCAGCAGGAGAGAGCACACTAACCCCTTCCAATTCTGGAGACAGAAATCGGACCCTGTTTGTCGTGGGTAAAATCAAGGTACCTGCAGGGCTTCGTTCCCTCTGGAGACTCAGGAGAATCAGTTCCTTGACTTTTCCAGCCTCTATAGGCCACCTGCATTCATGGCTCCTGGACTTCCTCCACCTTCAAAGCTGATGGAGACTCCCATTATGCTGCTGTAATCCCCACTCCCCTCTTCCTCCTCCTTTCCTGTGGACCCCTGTGACTACACTGAGCCCATCAGGACAGTCCAGGTTGTCTCCCCATCTCAAGGTCAACTCATCAACAACCTGAGCTCCATCTTCTCCTTCAGTCCCTTCCCCTATATCATAAATAGTCACAGACTCCAGGGATTAGAATGTAGTCATCACTGGGGACAATTATTCTTCCCACCACAGCACCCATTTCCCTGTATTCAATCCCCCTTTACCCCAAATACAGTCAGGACTTGCATGATGGGACCCGCAAGGACACGCCCACCAGGAGCTCTGGGATTCAGGAGGTGGGACAAGGAGAATCCCAGACAGGAGCCCTCTGACCTGTGACCGTGATCTCCAGGGGGTTGCTGGGTGCCGACCACCCACTGGGGTAGTGTGGTTGTGAACCCCGACATGTATAGGTCCCTGCGTGTGCTGGGGTCACAGGGCCCATGAAAAGGCTGTTCCAGAATATTATGTTGTAGAGCTCAGGGACAGGCACCCCATCTTCCTTTTACAGACTGAAGTTGTTAAACCCAAGATAAGAATGACACTGAAGAATCACATATCCTGGAGGCACCACAGGGCTTGGCCAGGCAGACAGCAAGGGCTTGTCCTGACCACCGTGGGGAGAAGGAGGCACCGCCTTAGAGAGGAGGATGTGGAGCCGCCCCTCCCTCCCTGTGCTCTGAAGATTCTCCTCGCTTTCCAAGTTTCTATGGCTGCTATCACACCTTGGTGCCCAGGGCTAAAGGAAGAACCCATCCCGCAAACACAAGGTGTCTCCCTACAACAAAAGTGTCAGCTGAGAACTTTGAGCAAGTGCTGAGTAAGAGACTCCTACTAGATTTTAATACTGTAAGATTACTCACATAAAACAACACAGGGTAGACATGGGGTGGAGGGCATGTCCTTTGAGAATGGAATATCAGCCGATGCCTGAACGAAAATAAACAACTGAGTCCCCATCAGAGGATTGGAATGTCAGGGCCATGGCTGTGGTTTTCCCACCTCTTCTGGTAGAATGACAGCAGCCACACTGCAGCCCCTACTGTCATGGAAACGCTGAAGTGTGTGAGTAACACCTTTGTCCTCAGAGGATCTGCTGTTCCTACCACTTCCCCACCACACACCCCAGCTTTGAGCACCGTAGTCTAACCCTGGTCCCCACAGAACTTGACTCTGCCAAGGGAATGAAAGGCCAGGGAGGCAAGGTCAGAAATGTGGGCCCAGCACCCCAGGGTCCCTTCTTCCTAGTTTATGAGAGACTCCCTGACAGGACTTCCCTCCCATTTCAGGAAAATCCTCTTATGTGGGGAGATGACACCCGAAGGTTTGGAGAAGGACTCACCCTCATGTGGCCAGGCCCCCTGCAGCAAGAAGAACCCTGGAAAGAAAGATCATGATGGATGACCCATCTGCAGGCAAACCAGGGCACCCTTGCTGCCCCCACTGGGCTGTGAGTCTTGGTAGCCAGGCCCTTCCTGGGCTGAAGGTAAACTCACCCTCAGTGCCTACCTGCACCCAAGAACAGGGCTGTCGGCTGTGCAGAGACCCAGCCTCCAGGTCCATATCCCCACCTCAAGCCCATATCTCCACTCCAGGCCCATATCTCCACTCCAGGCCGATATTTCCACCCTAAGCCCATATCGCCAATCCAGGCCCATATCTCCAATCCAGGCTCAGATCTCCACCCTGGGCCCATATCTCCAATCCAGGCCCTTATCTCCACTCCAGGTCCATATCTCCTCTCCAGTCCCATATCTCCACTCCAGGCCCATATATCCTCTCCAGTCCCATATCTCCACACCCAGGCCCGTATCTCCATCCTAGGCACATATCTCCTCTCCAGGCCCAGATATCGACCTCTAGGCCCATATCTCCACTCCTGGCCCATATCTCCACTCCAGGCCCAGATATCGACCTCTAGGCCCATATCTCCACTCCTGGCCCATATCTCCACTCCAGGCCCATGTCTCCACTTCAGGCCCATATCTCTACTGCAGGCCCGTAACTCCACCTCCAGGCCCATGACTCCACTCCAGGCCCATATCTCCACCTCCAGGCCCATATCTCCCCTCCAGGTTCCTATCTCCCCTCCAGGTTCCTATCTCCACTCCAGGCCCAGATCTCCACTACAGTCCCATCACTCCACCTCCAGGCCTATATCTCGACCTCTGGGCCCAGATCTCCACTTCTAGGCCCATCACTCCATCTCTAGGCCCATATATCCACTCCAGGCCCAGATCTCCACTCCAGGCCCACAACTCCACCTCCAGGCCTATATATCCACCTCTGGGCCCAGATCTCCAACCCCACACTCCCTTCCTCTATTCCCTTCCAGGACTCACCAACACACGCCATGCTGACGACCGTGAGCGACATGGTGCTGCCGGTGCAGACAGGCGGCCGCGCCCCAGCTCAGCTCAGCAGCGCACAGGATGTTATTTGGCGCCCTGCCCATGCAGTTTACATGTTGACCACATCATGGGAGGGTGACGTACGCAGGCTCTTTCTACCTTGCATGAGGCCCAGTGGTTGCTCGCTCAAGAGCGGAACACGGCTTCCTGGAAATTGTTCTCACTAGAATTTACACCTAGCGTCCTTCACTATGACCAACTCAAAACACGTCTCAGATCCAACCTCCTGAACACGAGATGCCTAAAATCTGTGCTAACGTGAAAGACTTTTCATGTATTTTTATTGTTTTTATCTGAGATTCAAACTCTTCTTCCTGTGTAATATGCAAAATATCTAATAGGTATTATTAAGGTTTTCAGAGTCATTGTGACTAATAAACCATTAGAATTTTTCATGCTTGTATTTCTAGTATTACAGCAGAACCAGTTAAAATGATTTAAATTCCCAGGGAAGGATTATGCAATTATTTACAATCTTTGAATTGTACGTTATCAGCAAAAACCACACATTTAAACTCTGGATTTTTGTAGATTTATCTAAAATTTGTCTCATGACCCAAGTTTCCAGAGTCCCAACTCTGGAGTTTGCTCTCTCTCTGTCTCTCTCCCTCCCTCATTTTAAATTTTACAGAAATATCCAGTAACATAATGCTATAGAAAATCAAGTTTCCCCCAGCACGTCGGGAAGCCGAGGTGGGCGGATCAACTGATATAAGGAGTTTGAGAGCAGCCTGGCAACACAGTGAAACCGTGTCTCTGCTAAAAATCCAAAAATTAGCCGTGCCCAGTGGCAGGAACTTGTAACACCAGCTACCCAAGAGGCTGAGGCACGAGAATCGCTTGAACCTGGGAGGCGGAGGTTGCAGTGAGCTGAGATTGCACCACTGCAGTCCAGCCTGGGCGACAGAGCAAGACTCCGCCTCAAGAAAATAAAAATAGCAAATAGCCTATAATAACAAATTAGAGGCCTCTGGCTACTAAATTTAAAGGGTTCTATGGGGCTACATAAAGTGGAGCATCCTCAAGAATGTGGACACAGAGAGCCGTTTAGCAGAGACAGTGTCTAAAATACACATCCGTGTACACACAGTCCCTTTTTAGTTGACAAAGGCTGCCGTGTGGTTTAAGGTGGCATAGAATGTCTTCTCAATAAATAATATTAAACCAAAGGGTTACACATAGGAAATAATAAATCTAAACTTATTCTCACACTATAAAAACACTTCTTAGTTTTTATCTAGTTATTGTACATTTTTTATGATTTATATTTAAATTTGAGAAATAAAAGTCCTATACCGTCATCCTTCACTATTCATGGGTGATTGGTTTCAGGATCTCCACTCAGATACTAAAATCTGCAGATGCTCAAGCCTCTTACATAAAATGACACAGCATTTGGATATAACCCATGCACATCCTCCTGTATACATGAAATCATCTCTTGATTACTTATAATTCCTGATACAGCCTATACACCACCTCATTTGTGTGCATTCAACACAGTTTTGCTTTTTGGAACTTTGTGGGCTTTTTCTCTGAATATTTTTGATTTATACTTGGTTCAATAAACACCTGTAAACCCCACAGATACGGAGGAGCGACTGTATATTTATAGTATGAAAGATGATGCGTTGACATGTGTCCCCGTGGAGATGAGACTAACAAGGCCTATGACTCTACAAATGTTTCATCATGGAATGACTCTGCCAGCTTTCCAGGTCTGCAGAGAGTAAGAATATCACTTGTTCATGTGATTCACGATCCTTGGAACTTCCTATGTGCTGCATCTTTGGATGGAAATTGGAGTCTCAGAGACAAGTCAGGGTCCACCCTGTTCCAGAAGCTCAGAGTCCAGGGGTGAGAACCCAGTGGAGAACAGATGGGGTTATGTGGACATGGTAATGATAACACCAGAAGCCTTAGGCAAGAAAAGAGTCCCATTACCGAAACCATGAGGGCAGACATGTTTATTTGAAGGAGGGAAAACTACATTGAAATTACTAAAAACAATTTATAAGTTTTACTGCTGACAGAAGGCTGAAAGATAGTCTGAGGGGAGGTGGAACTGCATGAGAGAAGGTGGAACAGCACGTGTCTAAGTGCTGTGTTAAGAGGGAGCCTCTTGTATGTTTGGAATTGTGAGTTCCTCAGTGTGATTGCAGCCTCAAGTAGACTAGGAAGTAAGCCAGTTAGGTTGGAGAGGTGGGCAGGGGTCAAGTGAAATGGAGAATTGTGGGCTAAGCAAAGGAGTGTGTTTTCTCTCCAGCAGGCAGTGGGGACCTTAGACATTTGTAAGCAAGAGAGAGGCATGTTCAGATTCGTGGTTTGAGGAAGAGCGATCCCCTAAGATGAAGACTGATGCCTTCAGATTCCAGCTGCTGGTACATGGGAGCTGGCAACCCGGTTTTGAGACAGGGCTGTTGTCTCCCTAGAAGATCCCCTCAAGGCCTGACTGTGGTGCTCGTGGACAGAAGACAGCTTTGGATCTGGACTCAGCATTTGGAAGTTCTATGTACATGCTGGTATCTGTTGGGGGTGTCTTGGGCCTCTGAGAAGGGGGAGTGATTTTTCTCTGTGTGAAAACACAGTGATCCAATTATGCGTATGACACCTCCTGATGGTCCTGTTCATCAGAATCCTGGAGAGAGGGAAATGCTGAGTGAGGGAGGGTGCTCACATTTTTCAGGACTCTTTGGGAATAAGACTAGCCACGAGGCTGGGCCGAGGAGCACCTACCTCCCTGTTCACTGTTCTGTTCCCCGCAGGCCCTTGGTCCATTACAGATGCATCTGTAGAAGATGGAAGTCAACAAAACAGCTCGGAGGGCACTTCTGGGTCCTCATTTCATAAGCAGATACCAACAAACAGGGGGAGGCCATAGGTGCCTGAGGTCCCTCAGTTGCCAACAGCAGACTCAGACATTCTATCTCTCTGAGCTCAAGGACCCATCCCATGAATAGCTCTGAGTTCCCATCCCATTGATTCTATCTCCCACTTTCTGCCTGTCATGGAACCTTCTCCTGGATGTGAGTGGCTGCAGGGGACGTGAGGGTACAGTTCAGAATCAGGCAATGGTCTGTGAGCTGAAGGCAGGGGAAGGGAATCTGGTGCTCTCTCTAGAAAGTCCTGCCTCTGTGGCTCCTGCCTTGGGCCAGGGACCATCCTGCCTGTGAGGAACACACACCCGCGTGCTACCATCCTGCTTCCCCACATGGCCCTGAGCTCTCTGGCCTCTGCTTCGTGAGACTTACTTTTTTTGTTGGAGCACCAGCGATGAAGGAGAAAGAAGAGGAGGATGGTGAAAGGGAGTTTGACCACTGAGGTCCCAATCAGAACGTGTAGGTGTCTGGGGTTACCTGGAAGAAGAGGAGACACCAATAAGAAGCTAATCATAGCAGTTCCTCTTTATGAATTGTCTCGCATTTCTTGATTGACAGGTAACCACATACAACGTCTCTTTAGGACAAGCACCCAAATGGTGGGAGACCTAGCTTTCCCCTGCTTTCTCAATTATAGCTCTCATAGTAACCATAGAACGTGCTGAGGATACAACTACTTTAGTTGAGATGTCTGACCCCTTCAAACCTCACATGGAAATTTCACCCCCACTGTGGGAGGTTGGGCCTCTTGGGAGGTGTTTGGGTCATGGAGGTGGATCCATCATGAACAGAACAATGCTGTCCCAAGGAGACGGGGTTAGCAAGTTCCCCCTCTATTAGTTCCCGGAGAGCTGGTTGTTCAAAAGAGCTTGGAAGCTCCATCGCTCCCCCTCCCCCTTACTCTCTCTCTTGCCGTGTGATCTCTGCGGTCTCTGCACAGACAGACCCTCCTTCCCTTCTGCCAGAGTGGGAGCAGCCTGAGGCCGTCACAAGAAATAGATTCTGGTGCCATGCTTCCAGTACAGCCTGCAGAACGGTGAGGCAAACCGATCTCTTTTCTTTAGAAGTTACCGAGGCTCAAGTTTTCCTTTAGAGCAACAAAAAAAAACTACGACAGCAACGTCCTGAGATCAGGAGGAATGTCTCAGAACAGCCTGGGCTGTCTTCCTGTTCTTCCTGGAGGAAGGCGTCATGCAGTGCTTTAGCTGAGTGCTTCCTGTGGCTCCAGGGTACAAAACCCAGGCTGGGCTGCTTTCTGGCTTCCCCCAGCTACACTGCAAATGGGGTGACTCCATATGTCCCGAGCAGCTTTTCTGAGCCTTGAGGGACTGGCTCACATTGAAATGTAGGCTTCTGTTGTCACTCGCTGCTTATCTGTTAGTAATGAACCTGCCTGTGTAATGTATTCTCTGTGTGTTCTGTCTTCCTGGAGTGACGGTGAGTGATAGGAATTGGCATAGGCCCAGGTGCAGTCCAGGAGGTGTTTAGAGTCTTCTCTGGGAAGACTGCACTGGGATTGATACACAGCGAATGTGCTTTAGGATTTATACATCCACGGCATTCTTGAGTCAAACAACTTGCATTCTCCAAGAAAAGGAAACAAAAGTGAAATCAAGATAAAAAAAGCGAAGTAGAATTCTCTTATGTCAAATGGCCAGGAAATAGTGTTGAAGCCCATGTGAAACGTGCTACTCTTTGTGATCTCAGGAGACACATGTTAGGCTGCTGTTCTACCCCAGAGGCTGGGGGAAGGACCACACCCTCGGCCATCTATTGCTTCAATACCACCTGTCCTCCTGTGAATTAGTAGGAAAGGGGAGCAGGAGCTAGTGCTGACGCTGATCTCTGATTCCAAGATCTGGACTCACTCCAAGGAGTATTAGAATTTACCTCCCCATGGCCTATCTGAATCTCCACAGATGATTGGAAGTAGGGGTGAGGTGGGGGATTTGGGTGAGAGGGCATGTTTTTTTTGTGATGAACAGAGCACTTTGTGTATTCCAGGATCTGTGCTGGAGGATTCAGCGGGCTTTCACATTTTCTATATGATCTCATGCTCACAGAAAGCCAAATAGGGAAGAGGTTTTAGGCTCATTGCCTAATGGATAAGATAAAGGATCAAAGAAGTAATTATAGAGAAATAGAAAAATCATGATTGGAATTCAGGTCCCTTTGTCATTTGCGTGTGTTATATTATATTTATATTTATGCATTTCTTATTTTTATTTTTTGAGACGGAGTCTCCTTGTGTCACCCAGGCTGGAGTGCAGTGATGCAATCTCCACTCACTGCAAACTCCACCTCCTGGGTTGAAGTCATTCTCCTGCTTCATCCTCCAGAGTAGGAGCTGGCATTACAGGGATGCACCACCATGTTCGGCTAATTTTTGTGTTTTTCCTAGAGACAGGGTTTCACCATGTTGGCCAGGCTGGTCTCGAACTGCTGACTTCGTGTGATCCACCCGCCTTGGCCTCCTGCAGTGCTGGGTTACAGGCGTGAGCCACCGTTCACAGACTTGTATATTATGCTGTAATAGGTCCCTTCATTTCCACCACCCCTCATATATCTGTCACTCCTTTGCCAGGTATTGATTTATGTGTAGTAGGAATAAAGCTCAGAAAGAAATTAAGCGAGGATTAGACAACTAGGAAAATCATACCCAGCAAGCCTTTCCAGCCAATGATTCCACCTCACAAGCATATCTTATATCCATCTGCTTCACCCAGTTAGGGTCTAAATCAGCACCACATTTCACCAGTGAGGCGGGAATTGCCTTTTCCACGGTCTCCTAGATTCCAGTTACGCACCTGGGCCTCCCTTATTTTCATGTCAGTCACTATTAATCATGTAGGGATTCCTGGCTACCCCGAGGTGAATCCAATGGCTGTGAGTGTCAAACACACACTCCTTGTTGCTCCTTAGTTTCCTGTGTACCCAGTGTGCTCTCCGTCTCTCCACAGTCGTCTTGTCATTCTCCCCACGTCATTCCCAGCATTTGAGGAAGAGCCTCTTCCTTCAACATCAGATTATTTTCACCTTTGTGCGTTCACGGCTGACAGCTGTGTGTGGAAAATCCTTCCACCAATCTTTCAGGGGTTCAATCCGTGTTTTTCATTAATGTCACAAATATCTGATTAGTGAGATCTTCTCTGTCACCCAAAATCATACACTCAGCATTATGTATTATTTATTTTAAATTCTGGCTGGGCACAGTGGCTCACGCCAGTTATCCCAGTACTTTAGGATGCTGAGACGGTCGGATCACTTGAGGTTGGGAGTTTCAGAGAAGCTTGGCGAAGATGGTGAAACATCCTCTACAAAAAATATACAAAAAGAATTAGCCGGGCATGGTGGCAGTTGCCTATAATCCCAGCTACTTGAGAGGCTGACGCAGGAGAATCACTTGGATCCAGAAGGTGCAGGTTGCAGTGAGCCAAGATGGTGACACTGCACTGTAGCCTGGAAGACAGAGGGCGACTCTGTCTCAATAAACAAATGAAGAAACAAACAAATAGATTTCATACACAGATGCTTCCCAATGGATCATTCATTTATTGGTCCACTTGTGCATTCATTTTCTGCCCTCCCATTTAACCATCTGCAATATCAGTGTCCCAAGAGCAGAGGCCAAATGCATCTTGTTCACTGTTTGTGGAAGGTAGGAGAATGCTGTCCCACCCCAAAATGTCCCTGTCCTAGCCTCCATAGCTTGTGAATATCTTATTTTACATGGAAAGGAGGAATGAAGATTGCAGATGGAATTATGGTTGCTAATCAGCTGAACTTAAAACAAGGGTATCCTGAATGATTTCCGGGAGATTATGATGGATTTTCATCTTGGTGAACCCAATAGAATCCCCAAGTTTTCAAAAGATGAGGAAGAAGGGAGAGCAGCATTCAGAGAAAGAGGTGTGGTAAGGAAGAAGGGTCTGAGTGATGCCATGTGAGATGTGACCAGCCTTTGTGGGCTTTGAGGAAGGAGGAAGGGGACCAGGAGCGAAGGAATGTGGGAGCCTCTAGAAGCTGAGAAAAGTGAGAAGCAGATTCTTGCCTGGAATCCTCAGAGGGAAGGCAGCCTTGCTGTCACCTTGATTTTAGCCCAGTGAGATGCACTTCATACTTTGAGCTACAGCACTGCAAGATAATTAAAAAACCGTTTTGTTTTCACCCACGAATCTTGTGGAAATTTGTTATGGCAACAATAGGAAAAGCTTCCACACTGCACAGCCTGAGCATGGGGCCGTGGCTGAATGAGTCAGTGAGTCGAAGTGTGCGTGCATGAGCTCTGTTCTCTGTTACAGCAAGGCTCTTTCTCTGCTGAGTCAGCCAGGGTTGCTTCATGACCTATAGGAGCTCATTCCTTGGCAAGTGGAACTTCTCTAAAACACCTCGCCCTCATCAGATGTTCCCTTCCCTTCCCTCTCTCAAGTCTCCAGGAATTTATCCTCCAGTTAGGAATGCAGGCAGAACAAACATTGCATTTTTCCTGAGAAGGATGTCAGATTGGCAATCATTCTTCTAGCTTGTAGGAGGTCTCAGCTCCATAAAATGAGAGATGAAGAGATTTCACTGAGCCCTGTGTTGGGCCCAGATCCCTTTCGCTGTAGGAGTATCTGGAGTTCGGAGATGGTGGAAGACAGGGGTACAATGTCAGAGCTGTGAGATGCTGAGTCAACGCCTGAATCCAAGGTTTCCACCTCCCCAGGTTTCCAAAAGCGGATATAAGAGGGTTCTGTACTCACCGGTTTTGGAGCTTGGTTCAGTGGGTGAAGGCCAACTATTTGAAGGGTTTCCTAGAATATGAGACAGGAGAGAGGTGAGGAAATGAGGGTGTCTGTCCTCTACTCAGTGGAAATCTTTGAGGATGGTTCATGGCCAACACTCTGTTATCTAATATTGGGCCCTGGGAGTCCTGGGATCCTTTTTTCCATAATTTTTGTATGTGACGCCCACTGTCTTGAGACTTCAAGGTATAAAGAGAAAACAGGAGCATCACACTACCTGATCTCAAAATATGTTACAGAGCTGTAGTAAGCAAAACAGCATGACATTGGCATAAAGAAAGGCACATAGAACAATGGAGCAGAATGAATAACACAGATATATTCCATGCATTTACATCCAATGGTTTTTTATTTTTTCTTTTGAGATGGAGTCTTGCTCTGTCACTCAGGCTGGAGTGCAGAGGTGCAATCTCAGTTCACTGCAACCTCAGCCTCCTGGGTTCAATCATTCTCTTGCCTCAAACTCCTGAGTAGTGGTATTACAGGTGCTGACCACCATGCTCAGCTAATTTTTATATTTTTAGTGGAGACGATGTTTCATCACGTCGGCCAGACTGATCTTGAACTCCTGGCCTCAGGTAATCCACCCGCCTCGGCCTCCCAAAGTGCTGGAATTGCAGGTGTGAGCCACCAAGCCCAGCCCATCCAATGGACTTTGACAAAGGTGCCAAGAACTCACAATCAGGAAAGGACAGTCTTTTCAATAAACAGTGCAGGGAAACCTGGACATCTACATGCAGAGGAATGAAACTGCACCTCTACCTGTCACCATACACAAAAATCAAATGAAAATGGATTAAAGATGTGAGTCTAAGGCCTGAACCTATGAAACACGTAGAAGAAATATTGGGGAAATGCTCCAGGACGTTTGTCTGAAGGAAGACATTTTGTTTTAAACCTTGAAAACACAAGTAATCGAAGCAAAAATAGACCATTGGGATTACCTCAAACTAAGCAACTTCTGCACTGCTAAAAATAAACCAACAAAGTGAAGAGACAACCCACAGATTGGGAGCAAATATGTGCAAACTATGCATCTGAGATGGGATTAATAACTAGAAATATAAGAAGCTCAAACAACTCAATAAAACAAATGATTTAATTGAAAAAGGAGCAAAAGACATGAAATTTCCCCACATATGAAAAAGTGCTCAGTATCACTCATCATCAGAGAAATGCAAATTAAAATCAAAGTGAGTTTTCATCTCACCCCATTAAAATGGCTTTTAGGCCGGGTGAGGTGGCTCACGTCTGTCATCCTAGAACTTTGAGAGCCTGAGGTGGGTGAATCTCATAAGGTCGGGAGTTTGAGACCAGTATGACCCACATAGAGAAACGCTGTCTCTACTAAAAATACAAAAATTAGTCGGGCGTGGTGGCGTGTGCCTGTAATTCCAGCTACTCGGGAGGCTGAGGCAGGAGAATCGCTTGAACCTGGGAGGTGGAGGTTGTGGTGAGCCGAGATAGCGCCACTGCACTCCAGCCTGGGTGAGAAGAGCAAAACTCCATCTCAAAATAAAATGAAATAAATAAAATGGCTTTTAGCTGCAAGACAGGCAAAAGAAATGCTGGCAAAGTGCTAGAGAAAGGAGAACCCTGGTACCCTGTTGGGAGGAGTGTAAATTAGTACAGCGATTACGGAGAAAAGTATGGAAGTCCTTTAAAGAACTAAAAAGAGGTTGGGTGTGGTGGATCAGGCCTGTAATCCCGGCACTTTGGGAGACTGAGGCGGGCACCTCAGTTGAGGTCATGAGTTTGAGAGCAGCCCAGCCAACATGGGGAAACCGCATCTATACTAAAAAAACCAAAAAGTAGCCAGGCATGGTGGCGTGCACCTGTAATCCCAGCTACTAGGGAGGCTGAGGCAGGAAAATCATTGGAACCCAGGAGGCGGAGGTTGCAATGAGCCAAGGTCGCACCACTTTGACTCCAGCTTGGGCTAAGGAGGGAAACTCTTTCTCAAAAAAGAAAAAAAAAAAAAAGAGAACTTTCATAGTATCCAGCAATTTCACTACTGGGTTTATATCCAAAGGAAAGTAAATCAATATATCGAAGTGATATCTGCACTCGTATGATTGGTGCAGCACTGTTCACAGTAGCCAAGATGAGGAGTCAACCTACCTGCCCATCAGTGGGTGAATGGATAGAGAGAATGTAGTACATACGCACAGTGGAGACTACTCATCCATAGAAAGAATAACATCCTGTCATTTGCAGCCACATGGATGGAACTGGAGGTCATTACAAAGATTCCCATTTCTCACCCATATACAGGAGCTAAAAGGTGGATCTCATGAAGGTAGAGAGTAGAATGGTGGCTACTGGAGGGCAGGAAGAAAAGGGTGGAGGGTAAAAAAAATGTATATATATATATATATATAAATGTATTTATGACCACTAGACTTTACACTTAAAAATGGTAAATGTGGCTGGGCGTGGTGGCTCATGCCTGTAATCCCAGCACTTTGGGAGGCAGATGCGGGTGGATCACGTGGTCAGGAGTTGCAGACCAGCTCGACCAACATGGTGAAACCACCTCTCTACTAAAAATACAAAAAGTAGCCTGGCGTGGTGGTGCGCACCTGTAGCACCAGCTACTCAGGTGGCTGAGGCAGGAGAATCGCTTGAACCCAGGAGGCGGAAGTTGCAGTGAGCTGAGATTGTGCCACTGCACTCCAGCATAGGGGACAGAGCTAGACTCTGCCTCAAAAAAAAAAAAATGTTAAAGGTGGTAAGCTATATAGGTATATTTATCCTCAATAAATATTTCTTCAAAGAAAAGTAAAGGGTGTAGGGGTTGCTGGTGATGACATCTCTGTGTGGGTGAGAGGCCAGGATGGGCTTCTGGGAAATGGGTAAGGTTGAGGGGCTGAGGGAACCTCTGATCTCCCCAAACTGAGCCCAGTCTCCCTCCTCTGGGTCTCTCCTGACCGCTTTCTCCATCTGCCTGGGTGCCTGGAGCCCTGGCTGCGGGCCTCCATGCAGGCCATGTAGGAGGGTTTGGAGGTGCCCTGTCGGCCATCCTGTGCCCTGATCCCTCCCTCACACCGAGGATGCATCTTCTCTCTGCATCTGTCCATGCTTCTCTCCATCCTCAGCAGGAAGCTCCTCAGCTAAGGCTCTAGGATCATAGGACATGGGACAGCCATGGGCTTTCCTCACCTGTGACAGAAACAAGCAGTGGGTCACTTGACTTTGACCACTCGTAGGGAGAGTCATGGAAAGAGCCGAAGCATCTGTAGGTTCCTCCTTGGGTGGCAGGGCCCAGAGGAAAGTCGGCCTGGAATGTTCCGTTGACCTTGGGCCCTGCAGAGAACCTACGTTCATGGGCCTCCCCCTCCGTGGATAGATGGTACATGTCATAGGAGCTCCAGGAGCTGCAGGACAAGGTCACGCTCTCTCCTGCCAGAACCGTGGGGCCCGGCTGGGCTGAGAGAGAAGGTTTCTCATATAGACCTGGAAGGAGAAGAGGCATTTTCCTTATGGAGGATCTTCCTTGTCACAGCTCCCTTCACCTGAGCTGAGAACTCACTCCCCTGCTCTATGACCTAATGCTCTCTCTCTCTCTCTCTCACCCTCCACCCCATCTCTCTTCATGTCTATTTCCTCCTTCCACCTTCTCTGTCTCTCTAGGTCTCTGACCTCGCTTCCCCACCTCTAGATATGTTTTCCGTTTTTGGATTGTTTTATTCTCTCTGACTCTCCTTGGATTGGTTGACTTGATGTTACTTTTTTAAATTCTAAGTTTCTCACTTTGTGTCCTGTTCATAACTTTCTGCATATTTCTATCTATTATCTGTTGATCTATCTATTTATCTATTCGGTGCCTATCTACAAATTCTCTACTTGTCATCTATATCTATATATCATCTATGTATCTATCACTTGTCTATCTATCCATCAATCATCTGTTATCTATATCTATGTATCATCTCTCTCTCTATGACTTCTGTCTGCCTCTCTATCTCTATGTATTATCTATCTGTCTTCATCATCATCTCTACGTCTCATCTATTAATGAATCAATCAATCATCATCTATGTATCTATAACCTAGTATCTATCATCTACCTATTTATCATCTATCTATATCTATCCATCTATCATCTGTCTTGCTCTGCCTCTCGGTCTCTCTAGTTCTCTTTGGAATCTCTGCAATTCATCCCCACATCTCCATCTTTCTATGTCCTTGTGCCTCTCCCTCAGGACTCTAATTTTAGTGCTTTTCTCTGCTCCCTTCCATCATTCTCACCACTCCTCTGCCCTCTTTTCTCTCTCTTTATGTGTCTGTGAGTCTCTCAATCTCCTTCCTCTGGCCCATTCTCTGTGTGTTTATGTCTTTGCTTTTTGGTGTTCCTGATTTTTCTCTGTGCCTCTCAGTGATCCTTTCATATGTGGGGTTATTTGGAATGTGAGCCTCAGAATCCAGTCTGGAGACTACAAGTTCACACAGCATACAGGGGTTGGTGTTCTGGGGCCATGATATCCTGGGACGATTACTCTCCATTACTTGGAAGGCAGAGGTGTCAGAATAAACACGGCATCTGTAGGTGCCAGAAGGCCTGAGGCCACAGGGCCCAACTCAGGTCAGAAATATGGGTGTCCTTGGGTTCTCCTGGTAGAGAACACTTTGTGGAGGTAAAACAGAAATGAAACTTGTAATCTGTGCCAGGTCTCTGAGCAAAGTCAGCATGGAGGGACACCTCTCTCTGGGACATGTCTGTCTGTCTGTCTCCTTTAACTCCTTCTGTCTTTTCTAACTCTCGGAATGGCCCCTGTGTCTGTCCTCTGTTATGACACCTGGTCTGTACTTGTGTCTCCTGTTTCTCTGTCTCTGTTGGTACAGACCTCACCAAGTCAGTCTCTCTCCATAAGAATACCAAGCTCATCTTCCTTACAACCACCTGGGCCTCCAAGTCCTGGATCATTCACTCTGTGTCCGAATGACAATGAGAAGAATGTCTGGACACTCTCACCTGTGATCACGATGTCCAGAGGGTCACTGGGAGCTGAAAACTGATAGGGGGAGTGAGGAACAGAACCGTAGCATCTGTAGGTCCCTGCCAGGTCTTGCCTCATGCGACCGATGGAGAAGTTGGCCTTGGAGACCCCATCAATGTGCTCTCCAATGAGGCGCAAAGTGTCGTTAAACGTCCCCTCTCTGTGCAGAAGGAAGTGCTCAAACATGACATCTGACCAACATTGCAGGATGACTGTCTCTTCTGATTTCACCAGGCGACCTGGGTGGGCCAGGAGGGAAGGTTTTCTGCGGAATCCTAGGAAGAGAGTTTGTGAATTTAGAAGGTGTCTCTCTTTATCATCCCATCCATGGCACCTGGATTGAGTGAGGCTTCCCCTCCCTGGTGTCTGTCTCTCTCCTTCCTCTCTGTGTCTTCATGTTCTTTTCTGTGCCCATAACTCCTGGTGCAGGTCCTTCCATCTGTCTCCCTCCCTCTTCTCTGTCCCTCTGTCTCTAGTAACCTCTGATTGCCTTGCCGCTGGGCTCAGCCTCATCTCTTCGGCTGTTGTATCTATTTTGAACTAATGTCTTTCCTGCTGTCTATGTGGGGGTGGAAGAGGAACCAGGATAGGCTGCACATCCAGGCTCTTAGCAGCCTGGTTCAATCTCTTTTGGACGAATTGGAATCCTTGGCAGGAGGTATGAACTGAACAGTAAGGCAGGCACCAGTGTCCACACACCCTTTTCCTGGTGGGGACTGGGAGCCACTCTTGCCATGCCTGTACCAGCTTCCATAGCCTGGCTCCTGGTGCTGGTTGGAGGAGTATCAACCGCTCCCTATGTGGATGGAGCCTGGTGGTGGCATCATAATCCCACACTTGCTGATCTTGGTGTAGCCAACCTTCTCCTTGTTTGGTTTCTTTAATTAATTAATTTTGGAGACAGAGTCTCACTCCTTTGCCCAGGCTGGAGTGAAGTGGTGTGGTCTAGGCTCACTGCAACCTCTGTCTCCTGGGTTCAAGTGATTCTCCTGCCCTCAGCCTCCCAAGTCGCTAGGATTACATGCACCTGCCACCACGCCCGGCTATCCTTGTGTCCTTTCTTAACTTTTCCTCGAGCTGGGTTCCGGTGTTGGTTTCCTGTTGCTGCTGTAGAAAATTATCAGCAGCATGGCAGCAGGAGAGAGCACACTGACCCCTTCCATTTTTGGAGGCAGAAGTCGGGCCCTGTTTTTCCTGGGCTAAAATCAAGGCACCTGCAGGGCTTCGTTCCCTCTGGAGACTCAGGAGAATCAGTTCCTTGACTTTTCCAGCCTCTATAGGCCACCTGCATTCATGGCTCCTGGCCTTCCTCCACCTTCAAAGCTGATGGAGACTCCCATTATGCTGCTCTAATCCCCACTCTCCTCTTCCTCCTCCTTTCATGTGGACCCTTGTGACTACACTGAGCCCAGGGGGACAGTCCAGGCCTTCTCCCATCTCAAGGTCAACTCATCAACAACCTGAGCTCCATCTTCCCCTTCAGTCCCTTCCCCTATAACATAAATAGTCACAGACTCCAGGGATTAGAATGTAGTCATCACTGGGGACAATTATTCTTCTCACCACAGTACCCATTTCCCTGTATTCAATCCCCCTTTACCCCAAATACAGTCAGGGCCTGCGTGAAGGGACCCTCAAGGACATGCCTACCGGAAGCTCTGGGATTCAGGAGGTGGGACAAGGAGAATCCCAGACAGGAGCCCTCTGACCTGTGACCATGATCAGCAGGGGGTTGCTGGGTGCCGACCACCCACTGGGGGAGTGTGGGTGTGAACCCCGGCATCTATAGGTCCCTGTGTGTGACGGGGTCACAGGGCCCATGAAAAGGCTTTTCCAGAATATTCTGTTGTAGTGTTCAGGGACAGGCACCCCATCATCCTTGTACAGACTGAAGTTGTTAAACCCAAGATTAGAGTGACACCGAAGAGTCACATGTTCTGGAGGCACCACAAGGCTGGGCCAGGTAGAAAACAAGGGCTTGTCCTGACCACCTTGGGGAGAAGGAGGCGCCACCTTAGAGAGGAGGATGTGCAGCCGCCCCTCCCTCCCTGTGCTCAGAAGATTCTCCCCACTTTCCACATTTCTATGGCTGCTATCACACCTTGGTGCCTAGGGCTAAAGGAAGGACTCATCCCACAAAGACAAGGTGTCTCCCTACAACAAAAATGTCAGCTGAGAACTTTGAGCAAGTGCTGAGTAAGAGACTCCTACTAGATTTTAATACTGTAAGATTACTCACATAAAACAACACAGGGTAGACATGGGGTGGAGGGCATGTCCTTTGAGAATGGAATATCAGCAGATGCCTGAATGAAAATAAACAACTGAGCCCCCATCAGAGGATTTGGAATGTCAGGGCCATGGCTGTGGTTTCCCACCTCTTCTGGTAGAATGAGAGCAGCCACACTGCAGCCCCTACCATCATGGAAACGCTGAAGTGTGTGAGTAACACCTTTGTCCTCAGAGGATCTGCTGTTCCTACCACTTCCCCACCACACAACCCAGCTTTGAGCACCCTAGTGTAACCCTGGTCCCCACAGAACTTGACTCTGCCAAGGAAATGAAAGGCTGGGGAGGCGAGGTCGGAACTGTGGGCCAAGCACCCCAGGGTCCCCTCTTTCTAGTTTAAGAGAGACTCCCCGACAGGACTTCCCTCCCGTTTCAGGAAAATCCTCTTATGTGGGGAGATGACACCTTAAGGTTTGGAGAAGGACTTACCCTCATGTGGCCAGGCCCCCTGCAGCCAGAAGAACCCTGGAAAGAAAGACCATGATGGACCATCCATCTGCAGGCAAACCAGGCCTCCCTTGCTATCCCCACTAGGCTGTGAGTCTTGGTAGCCAGGCCCTTCCTGGGCCGAAGGGAAACTCACCCTCAGTGCCTACCTGCACCCAAGAACAGGGCTCTCGGCTGTGCAGAGACCCAGCCTCCAGGCCCATATCCCCACCCCAAGCCCATATCTCCACTCCAGGCACATATCTCCACTCCAGGCTGATATTCCCACCCTAGGCCCATATAGCCAATCTGGGCCCACATCTGCAATCCAGGCTCAGATCTCCACCCCAGGCCCATAACTCCAGTCCAGGCCCATATCTCCACTCCAGGCCCATATCTCCTCTCCAGGCCCATATCTCCACTCCAGGCCCATATCTCCACCCCGGGCCCAGATCTCCACCTCCAGGCCCATAACTACATTCCAGGATCATATCTCCACTCCAAGCCCATATCTCCACAACAGGCCCATATCTCCACTCCAGTCCCATATCTCCACCCCACGCCCATATCTCCATTCCAGGCCCATATCTCCACTCCAGGCCCATATCTTCACCACACGCCCATATCTCCACTCCAGGCCCATATCTCCACCCCACGCCCATATCTCCACTCCAGTCCCATATCTCCACTCCACGCCCATATCTCCACTCCAGTCCCATATCTCCACCCCATGCCCATATCTGCACTCCAGTCCCATATCTCCACCCCACACCCATATCTCCACTTCAGTCCCATATCTCCACTCAAGGCCCATATCTCCACCCCACGCCCATATCTCCGCTCCAGGCCCATATCTCCACTCCAGGCCCATATCTCCAACCTCCAGGCCCATATCTCCACTCCAGGCCCATATCTCCATCTCCAGGCTCATATCTCCACTCTAGGCCCATATCTCCACTCCAGGCCCTTATGTCCACCTCCAGGCCCATATCTGCACTCCAGACCCACATCTCCACTCCAGGCCCATATCTGCACTCCAGGCCCCTATCTCCACTCCAGGGCCATATCTCCACTCCAGGCTCATATCTCCACTCCAGGCCCATATCTCCAATCCAGGCCCAGATCTCCACTCCAGGCCCAGATCTCCACCTCCAGGCCCATATCTCCACTCTAGGCCCATATCTCCACTCCAGGCTCATATCTCCACTCCAGGTCCATATCTCCACCTCCAGGCCCATATCTCCACTCCAGGCCCATAACTCCACCTCCAGGCCTATATCTCCACCTCTGGGCCCAGATCTCCATCCCCGCGCTCCCTCCCTCTATTCCCTTCCAGGACTCACCAACACATGCCATGCTGATGACCATGAGCGACATGGTGGTGCCGGAGCAGACAGGCGGCCGCACCCCTAGCTCAGCTCAGCAGCGCACAGGATGTTATTTGGCTCCCTGCCCATGCAGTTTACATGTTGACCACATCATGGGAGGGTGACGTACGCAGGCTCTTTCTACCTTTCATGAGGCCCAGTGGGTGCTCGCTCAAGAGCAGAACACGGCTTCCTGGAAATTGTTCTCACTAGAATTGACACCTCGTGTCCTTCACTATGACCAACTCAAAACACGTCTCAGATCCAACCTCCGGAACACAGGATGCCTAAAATCTGTGCTAACGTGAAAAACTTTTCATGTATTTTTATTGTTTTTATCTGAGATTCAAACTCTTCTTCATGTGTAATATGCAAAATATCTAATAGGTATTATTAATGTTTTCAGAGTCATTGTGACTAATAAACCATTAGAATTTTTCATGCTTGTATTTCTAGTATTACAGCAGAACCAGTTAAAATGATTTAAATTCCCAGGGAAGGATTATGCAATTATTTACAATCTTCGAATTGTACTTTATCAGCAAAAACCACACATGTAAATTCTGGATTTTTATAGTTTTATCTATAATTTGTCTCATGACCCAAGATTCCAGAGTCCCAACTCTGGAGTTTGCTCTCTCTCTGTCTCTGTCCCTCCCTCATTTTAAATTTTACAGAAATATCCAGTAACATAATGCTATAGAAAATCAAGTTTCCCCCAGCATGTTGGGAAGCCGCGGTGGGCGAATCAACTGAGATGAGGAGTTTGAGAGCAGCCTGGCCAACATAGTGAAACCGTGTCTCTGCTAAACATTCAAAAATTAGCCGTGCCTGGTGGCAGACACCTGTAATGCCAGCTACTCAAGAGGCTGAGGCACGAGAATCGCTTGAACCTGGGAGGCGGAGTTTGCAGTGAGCTGAGATTGCACTACTACAGTCCAGCCTGGGTGACAGAGCAAGATTCCGCCTTAAGAAAAAAAAAATAGCAAGTAGCCTATAATAACAAATTAGAGGGCTCTGGCTACTAAATTTAAAGGGTTCTATAAGGCTACATGAAGTGCAGCATCCTCAAGAGTGTGGACACAGAGAGCCCCTTAGCAGAAACAGTGTCTAAAATACATCCGTGTACACACAGTCCCTTTAGAGTTGACAAAGGCTGCCCTGTGGTTTAAGGTGGCATAGAATGTCTTCTCAATAAATAATATTAAACCAAAGGGTTACACGTAGGAAAAAATAAATCTAAACTTATTCTCACACTATAAAAACACTTCTTGTTTTTATCTAGTTTATAATTTTTTTATGATTTATATTTAAAATTGAGAAATAACAGTTTTATACGGTCATCCTTCACTATTCCTGGGTGATTGGTTTCAGGATCTCCACTCAGATACCAAAATCTGCAGATGCTCAAGCCTCTTACATGAAATGGCACAGCATTTGCATATAACCCATGCACATCCTCCTGTGTACATGAAATCATCTCTAGATTACTTATAATTCCTGATATGGCCTACACACTGCTTCATTTGTGTCCCTTCAACATAGTTTTGCTTTTTGAAAGTTTGTGGATTTTCTTCTCTGAATATTTTTTATTTATAGTTGGTTCAATAAACACCTGTAAACCCCACAGATACGGAGGAGCGACTGTATATATATATATAGCATGAAAGATGATGTGTTGATATGTGTCCCCATGGAGATGAGACTAACAAGGCCTATGACTCTACAAATGTTTCATCGTGGAATGACTCTGCCAGCTTTCCAGGTCTGCAGAGAGTAAGAATATCACTTGTTCATGTGATTCATGATCCTTGGAACCTCCTATGTGCTGCATCTTTGGATGGAAATTGGAGTCCCAGAGACAAATGAGGCTCCACCCTGCTTCCAGAAGCTCAGAGTCCAGGGGAGAGAACCCAGTGGATAACAGATGGGGTTATGTGGACATGGTAATGATAACAGCGGTTTCTTTCAGCGAATAGTGTCACATTACCTAAAGCAATGAGGGCAGACATGTTTATTTGAAAAGGAGACAGCTACATTGAAATCACAAAAAATTTTATAAGTTTCACTGCTGACTGACAGAAGGCTGGAAAATAGTCTGAGGAAAGGTGAAACAGCATGAGGGAAGGTGGAACAGCACGTGTCTCAGTGCCATGTTAAGAGGGAGCCTCTTGTATGTCTGGAATTGTGAGTTCCTCAGTGTGATTGCAGCCTCAAGTAGACTAGGAAGTAAGCCAGTTCAGTTGGAGAGGTGGGCAGGGGTCAAGTGAAATAGAGAATTGTGGGCTAAGCAAAGGTGTGTGTCTTCTCTCCAGCAGGCAGTGGGGACCTTAGACATTTGTAAGCAAGAGAGAGGCATGTTCAGATTTGTGGTGTGAGGAAGAGCGATCCCCTAAGATGAAGACTGATGCCTTCAGATTCCAGCTGCTGGTACATGGGAGCTAGCAACCCGGTTTTGAGACAGGGCTGTTGTCTCCCTAGAAGATCCCCTCAAGGCCTGACTGTGGTGCTTATGGGCAGGAGACAATGATCTTGGCTTAGCATTTGGAAGTTCCATGTACATGGTGGTATCTGTTGGAGGTGTCTTGGGCCTCTGAGAAGGGGAAGTGATTTTTGTCTGTGTGAAAACGCAGTGATCCAACTGTGCATATGTCACCTCCTGAGGGTCTTGATCATCAGAGTCCTGGAGAGAGGGAAATGCTGAGTGAGGGAGGGTGCTCACATTCTTCAAGACTATTAGGGAATGAGACTCAATCCATGAGGCTGGGCTGAGGAGAACCTACCTCCCTGTTCACTGTTCTGTCCCCGGCAGGCTCTTGGTCCATTACAGCAGCATCTGTAGGAGATAGAAGTCATCAAAACAGCTGGAAGGGCACTTTTGGGTCCTCATTTCATGAGCAGACACCAACACACAGCGGGAGGCCGTAGGTGCCTGAGGTCCCTCAGCTGTCATCAGCCAGACCCAGACATTCTATCTCTCTGAGCTCAAGGACCCATCCCATGAATAGCTCTGAGTTCCCATCCCAGTGATTCTGTCTCCCCTTTCTGCCTGTCATGGAACCTTCTCCTGGATGTCAGTGGCTGCAGGGGACGTGAGGATACAGTTCAGAATCAGGCAATGGTCTGTGAGCTGAAGGCAGGGGCAGGGTGTCTGGTGCTCTCTCTAGAAAGCCCTGCCTCTGTGGCTCCTGCCTTGGTCCAGGGACCATCCTGCCAGTCAGGAACACACACCAGTGTGCTCCCATCCTGCTTCCCCACATGGTCCTGAGCTCTCTGACCTCTGCTTCGTGAGACTTACTCTTTTTGTTGGAGCAGCAGCAATGAAGGAGAAAGAAGAAGAGGATGATGAAGAGGATGATAGCCACTGAGGTCCCAATCAGAATGTGCAGGTGTCTGCGGATACCTGGGGGAAGGTGGGAATCCAATAAGAAGCTAATTATAGCAGTTCCTCTTTATGGATTGTCTCTCATTTCTTGGTTGCCAGCTAAGCACATACAACATCTGTTTAGGACAAGTTCCCCGATGGCAGGATACCCAGCTTTCTCCTGCTTTCTCAGTTATAGTTCTCAAAATAATCAGAGAACATGCTGGGGATACCACTGCTATAGTTTGAATGTTTGACCCCGCCAAACCTCACGTTGACACTTATCTCGCAGTGTGGGAGGCTGGGCCTATTGAGAGACGTTCCAGTTATGGGGGTGGATCCATCATGAATACATTAATGCTGTCCCCATGAGACGTGGTTGGCAAGTTCTCCATGAGGTCCCTAGGACTGGTTGCTAAAAAGAGCATGGGGTTTCTCCATGTTGGCCAGGCTGGTCTCAAACTCCTGACCTCAAGTGATCCAAACGCCTTGGCCTCCCAAAGTGTTGGGTTACAGGCGTAAGCTCCCATTCACAGACTTGTATATTATGCTATAATAAGTCCCTTCATTTGCACCACCCCTCATCTATCTATCACTCCTCTGCCAGATATTGATTTACATGTAGGAAAAATAAATCTCAGAAAGAAATTAATATATTCAAAATTAAATAAGTAGGCATTATCAAATCCAGCAAGACCTCCCTACAAATGATTCTACCTCACAGACATATCTTATACCCATCTACTTCATTCATTTAGTGTCTAAATCAGCACCACATTTCACCAGTGGGGCGGGAATTGCCTTTTCCACGGTCTCCTAGATTCCAGTTACGCACTTGGGCGTCCCTTATTTTCATGTCAGTCATATTAATCATGTAGGGATTCCTGGTTACCCCGAGGTGAATCCAATGGCTGTGAGTGTCAAACACACGCTCCTTGTTGCTCCTTAGTTTCCTGTGTACCCAGTGTGCTCTCCGTCTCCCTACAGTCATCTTGTCATTCTCCCCACGTCATTCCCAGCATTTGAATGCAGAGCCTCTTCCTTCCACATCAGATTGTTTTCACATTTGTGCCTTCACGGCTGACAGCTGTGTGTGGAAAATCCTTCCGCCCATCTTCCAGGGGTTGAATCTACTTTTTTTTTTCATTATGGTCACAAATATTATCTGATTAGTGAGACTTTCTCTGTCTCCTGAAATTATACACTTAGAATTCTTTATTATTTATTTTAAATTTCGGCTGGGCGCAGTGGCTCACGCCTTGAGTCCCAGCATTTTGGGATGCTGAGACGGTCGGATCACTTGAGGTTGGGAGTTGGAGACAATCTGCGCAACATGGTGAAACTCCATCTCTACTAAAAAATATAAAAGAAAATTAGCTGGGTGTGGTGGAGGGGACTGGAATCACAACTAGTCAGGAGGCTGAGGCAGGAGAATCGCCTGAACCCGGGAGGCGGAGGTTGTGGTGAGCTGAGGTCATGCCACTGCACTCCAGCCCGGGGACAGAGAATGACTTCGCCGCAAATAAATAAATACATAAATAGATAAATAGATAAATAAATAGGTAAATAGATTTCATGCACGGATGCTTCCCAATGGATCAATCATTACTGGTCCACTTGTGCATTCATATTCTGCCCTCCCATTTGCCCATCTGCAATGTCAGTGTCCTAAGAGCAGAGGCCAAATGCATCGTGTTTACCATTTGTGGAAGGCAGGAGAATGCTGGCCCACCCCCAAAATGTCCCTGTCCTAGCCTCCATAGCTTGTGAATATGTTATTTTACATGAAAGGAGGAATAAAGATTGCAGATGGAATTATGGTTGCTAATCAGCTGAACTTAAAAAGAGGTTATCTTGGGTGATTTTAGGGAGATTGTGATGGATTATCTTGGTAAACTCAATAGAATCCCAAAGTCTTTAAAAGAGGAAGAAAAAGTCAGAGCAACACTTAGAGAAAGAGGTGAGGTAAGGAAGAGGGATCTGAGTGATGCCACGTGAGAGATGTGACGAGCTTTTGTGGACTTCGAGGAAGGAGGATGGGGACCAGATACCAAGGAACGTGGGAACCTCTGGGAGCTGGGAAATGTGAAAAGCCGATTCTCGCCTGGAACCTTCAGAGAAAAGGCAGCCTCGCAGTCACCTTGATTTTAGCCCAGTGAAATGCATTTCATATTTCTGAGCTATAACACTGTAAGATAATTTTAAAAGCTGTGTTGTTGTCATCCATGAAGTTTGTGGAGATTTATTATGGCAACAGCAGGAAAGGGTTCCACACTGTACAGTCAGAGCACAGGGCAGTGGCTGAATAAGTGAGTGAGTGGAAGTGTCATATTCGTGGATGAACTACGTTCCTTCTTACTGCAAGGCTCTTGCTCTGCTGACTCAGCCAAGGTCGCATCATGACCAACAGGGGCTCATTCCTTGGCAAGTGGAACTTCTCTAAATCACCTTTCCCTCATCAGATGTTCCCTTCCCCTCCCTCTCTCAAGTCCCCTCGAATTTATCCTCCAATTTGGAATGCAGGCAGAAAAAACACCACATTATCCCTGAGAAGGATGTCAGATTTGTACTCGTCCGTCTAGCTTGGAGGAGGTCTCAGCTGCAGAAATTTGAAATGAAGAGACTTCACTGAGCCCTTTGCTGTCCTCAGATACCCTTCGCTGTTGTAGTGTCTGGGGGTCAGAGATGTTAGAAGACAGGCCCACAATCACAGAGCTGGGAGGTGCTGAGCCAATGCTTGAATCCAAGATACCAACCTCCCCAGGTTTCCAAAAGCAGAGATAAGAGGGATCTTTACTCACCAGTTTTGGAGCTTGGTTCAGTGGGTGAAGATGAACTACTTGAAGAGTTTCCTAGAACACAGGACAGGAGAGAGGTGAGGAAATGAGGATGCCTGTCTTCTACTCAAAGGAAATCTTTGAGGTTGGTTCATGGCCAACACTCTGTTATCTAATGTTGGGCCCTAGGAGTCCTGGCGTCCCCTTCTCCATCATCATTGTTAAATGATGCCCAGTGTCCTGAGATTTCGAGGTATAAAGACAAAACAGGTGCTGGAGGCCTCACACTCCCTGACTTAAAAATATGTTACAAAGCTGTAGTAAGCACAACAGCATGACATTGGCATAAAGGCCCTTAGAGCAATGGAGCAGAATGAAGAACACAGATATAATTCATGCATTCACATCCAATGGACTTTGACGATTGTAGGTGCCAAGAACCTGCAATCAGGAAACGACGGTCTTTTCAATAAATGGAGCAGGGAAAACTGGTATCTACATGCAGTTGATGAAACTGCACCTCTACCTCTCACCATACACAGAAATCAAATGAAAATGGAAGAAACACTTAAGGCCTGAAACCATTAAGCGTCTAAAAGGAAAGAGTGGGGAAATGCTCCAGGACATTTGTCTGAGGAAAGACATTTTATTTGAAATCTCAAAAACACAAGAAATCAAAACAAAATAATAGACCTTCGGGATTACATCAAAGTAAGCAGCTTCTGCACCGCAAAGGAAGCAACCAACAAAGTGAAGAAGAGACAAATTGGGAGAAAATATTTGTGAAGTATGCATCTGAGAGGGGATTAATAACTAGAATATACATAAAACTCAAGCAACGGTATAAAACAATGAATTTAATTTAACAATTAGTAAAAGACCTGAACAGACATTTCTCAACAAACAAAACGTACAAATGGCGAACATGTACATGAAAAAGTGCTCAGTATCACTAATCATGCCAATTGAAATCACAGTGAGCTATCATCTCATCCCATTAAAGTGGCTTTTATCTGAAACACAGACAAAATGAATGCTGGCAAGGTGGTAGAGAAAGGAGAACCCTGGTACCCTGTTGATAGGATCTAGCAATTCCACTACTGGGTGTAAACCCAAAGGGAAGGACATCAGTGTATCGAAGTGATATCTGCACTCATACGATTGGTGCAGCACTGTTCACAGTAGCCAAGATGTGGAGTCAACTTACCTGCCCGTCAGTGGGTGAATGGATAGAGAGAATGTAGTACACACACACAGTGGAGAGTACTCATCCGTAGAAAGAATAACATCCTGACATTTGCAGCCACATGGATGGAACTGGAGGTCATTGCAAAGATTCCCATTTCTCACCCATATACAGGAGCTAAAAGGTGGATCTCATGAAGGTAGAGAGTAGAATGGTGGCTACCAGAGGGCAGGAAGTAAAGGGTGGAGTGTAACAACAACAATAAAAAAGAATATAGATGTATTTATTTATTTAGAGACAGAATCTCTCTCTGTCTCCCAGGCTGCAGTGCAGTGGCCTGATCTCAGCTCAGTGCAACCTCTGCCTCCTGGGCTTACGTACTTCTCCTGCCTCAGCCTCCCATGTAGCTAGGAATACAGGTGCATGCCAGCATGCCCAGCCAATTTTTCTTGTCTGTTTAGTAAAGATGAATTTCCCTCATGTTGGCCAGGCTGATCTCGAGCCTCTGATCTTAAATGATCCACCTTCCTTGGCCTCTCAAAGCACCGAGATTATAACTGTGAGCCACTGCACCCTGCATATAAAGGAATTTATGACCACTAGATTTTACTTTTAAAAATGGTAAAGGTGGCAAATTATATAGTTACATTTAACCTCAATAAATGTTTTTTCAAACGGAAAGAAAAGGGTGTAGGGGTTGCTGGTGATGACATCTCTGTGTGGGTGAGAGGCCAGTATGGGCTTCTGGGAAATGGGTAAGGTTGAGGGTCTGAGGAGCCTCTGATCTCCCCAAACTGAGCCGAGTCTCCCTCCTCTGGGTCTGTCCTGACCACTTTCTCCATCTGCCTGGGTGCCTGGAGCCCTGGCCGCGGGCCTCCATGCAGGCCGTGCAGGAGGGTTTGGAGGTGCCCTGTCTGCCATCCTGTGCCCTGATCCCTCCCTCACACCATGCTGCGTGTTCTCTCTGCATCTGTCCATGCTTCTCTCCATCATCAGCAGGAAGCTCCTCAGCTAAGGCTCTAGGATCACAGGACATGGGACAGGCATGGGCTTTCCTCACCTGTGACAGAAACAAGCAGTGGGTCACTCGGGTCTGACCACTCATAGGGTGAGTCATGGAGAGAGCTGAAGCATGTGTAGGTCCCTCCGTGGGTGGCAGGGCCCAGAGGAAAGTCAGCCTGGAATGTTCCATCGACGCTGGGCACTGCAGGGAGCCTAGGTTCATGGGCCCTCCCCTCCCTGGATAGATGGTACATGTCAAATGAGCTCCTGGAGCTGCAGGACAAGGTCACGTTCTCTCCTGTGCGAACCGTGGGGCCCGGCTGGGCTGAGAGTGAAGGTTTCCCAAATAGACCTGGAAGAAGAGGCAGTTTCCTCAGGGAGGTTCTTCCTTGTCACAGCTCCCCTCACACCTGAGCTGAGAACTCACTCCCCTGCTCTATGACCTAATGCTCTCTCTCTCTCTCACCCTCCACCCCCGACTCTCCCTGTGGATCCCTCCCTATGCAGCTCCAGCCTGGTGGTGGCATCAGCAGTGCACCCTTGCTGACCTTAGGGTAGCCAACCCTCTTGTTTGGTTTTTTAACTTGTCCTTGACCTGGATTCCTGTGTTGTTTCCTGTTGTTGCTGCAGAAAATTATCACAAACACGGCGGCGGGAGAGAACACTTCTGTTGACAGAAATCAGACCCTGTTCTTCCTGGGCTACAATCAAGGCATCTGCAGGGCTGCATTCCCTCTGGAGACTCGGGAGAATCAGTTCCATTGACTTCTCCAGCCCCTAAAGGCCACCTGCATTCCGTGGCTTCTGGCCTTCCTCCACTTTCAAAGCCCGCAGTGGCTGGTGGACTCTCCCTCCCACTACGCTGCTCTAATCCCCACTCTCCTCTTCCTCCTCCTCTCATGTGGACCCTTGTGATTACACTGAGCCCAGTGGGAGAGTCCAGGTCGTCTCCCCATCTCAAGGTCAACTCATCAACAACCTGAACTCCATCTTCCCCTTCAGTCCCATGTCCTATAACATAAATAGTCACAGGCTCCAAGGATTACAATATAGCCATGCTGCCGACAGTTACTCTTTCCACCACAGCACCCATTCCCCTGTATTCAATCCCCATTGACACCAAATACAGTCAGGGCCTGGATGATTGGACCCTGGTGGACACCCCCACCAGATGCTCTGGGATTCAGGAAGTGGGAGAAGGAGAAGCCCAGACATGAGTCCTCTGACCTGTGACCACGATCACCAGGGGGTTGCTGGGTGCCGACCACTCAATGGGGGAGCGCGGGTGTGAACCCCGACATCTGTAGGTCCCTGCGTGTGCAGGGGTCACAGGGCCCATGAGGATGCTCTTCCAGAATATTTTGTTGTAGAGCTCAGGGACAGGCACCCCATCTTCTTTGTACAGACTGAAGATGGTAAACCCAAGACGAGAGCGACACAGAAGAGTCACATGTCCTCCTCGAGGCACCACAGCGCTGGGCCAGGCAGACAGCAAGGGCTTGTCCTGTCCACCTGGGGGAGAAGGAGGCGCCACCTTAGAAAGGAGGATGTGGAGCCGCCCCTCCCTGCCAGTGCTCAGAAGATTCTCCCCACTTTCCTCGTTTCTAAGGCTCCTACCACACTTGGGTGCCCATGGCTACGGGAAGGACCCACCCCGCATAGACTTGGCGTCTCTCTACAACAAAAGTGTCAGCTGAGAACTTTGAGCAAGTGCTGAGTAAGGGACTCCTACTAGATTTTAATACTGCAAGATTACTCACATAAAACAACACAAATAGACATGGGGTCGAGGGCATGTTCTTTGTGAATGGAATATCAGCCAATGTGTGAACCACAATACACAACTGAGCCCCCAACAGAGGATTTGGAAGGTCAGGGCCCTGGCTGGGGTTCCCCCACCTCTGAGGTAGAATGACAGCAGCCACACTGCAGCCCCTACCGTCATGGAAACGCTGGAGGGTGTGAGTTACACCTTTGTCCTCAGAGGCCTGCTGTTCCTAGCACTGCTTTGCTCCCTTCCTCTGCCAGTGACACCACATCCCAGCCGCACAGCCCAGCTTGGAGGACCCCAGTCTACCCTCCCGGGTTCCCACAGAACCTGACTCAGCCAAGGGAAAGGAAGGCTGGGGAGGGCAAGGTCGGAACTGTGGGCTGAGCACCCCAGGGTCTCCTCATCCTTGTTTATAAGAAAATCCCCCACCGGGCTTCCCTCCTGTTTCAGGAAAATCCTCTTATGTGGGGAGATGACACCCGAAGGTTTGGAGAAGGACTCACCCTCATGTGTCCAGGCCCCCTGCAGCAAGAAGAACCCTGGAAAGAAAGATCATGATGGACCATCCATCTGCAGGCAAACCAGGACTCCCTTGCTGCCCCCACTGGGCTGTGAGTCTTGGTAGCCAGGCCCTTGCTGGGCTGAAGGGAAACTCACCCTCAGTGCCAGCCTGCACCCAAGAACAGGGCTGTCGGCTGTGTAGAGACCCAGCCTGCAGGCCCATATCCGCACCCCAGGCCCCTATCCCCACCCCAAGCCCATATCTCCACTCCAGGCCCATATCTCCACTCCAGGCCAATATTTCCACCCTAGACCCATATCTCCAATCCAGGCCCATATCTCCACCCCAAGCCCATATCTCCATCCTAGGCCCATATGTCCACTCCAGGCCCAGATATCCACCTCTAGGCCCATATCTCCACCTCCAGGCCCATATCTCCACCTCCAGGCCCATGTCTCCACTCCAGGCCCATATCTCCATCCCAGGCCAATATCTTCACTCCAGGCTCCTATCTCCCCTCCGGGTTCCTATCTCCACTCCAGGCCCAGATCTCCACTCCAGGCCCATATCTCCACCTCCAGGCCCATATCTCCACTCCAGACCCAGATCTCCACTTCTAGGCCCATCACTCCATCTCCAGGCCCATATATCCACTCCAGGCCCAGATCTCCACTCCAGGCCCATAACTCCACCTCCAGGCCTATATCTCCACCTCTGGGCCCAGATCTCCATCCCCGCACTCCCTCCCTCTATTCCTTTCCAGGACTCACCAACACACGCCATGCTGATGACCATGAGCGACATGGTGCTGCCGGTGCAGACAGGCGGCCGCGCCCCAGCTCAGCTCAGCAGCGCACAGGATGTTATTTGGCGCCCTGCCCATGCAGTTTACATGTTGACCACATCACGGGAGGGTGACGTACGCAGGCTCTTTCTACCTTGCATGAGGCCCAGTGGGTGCTTGCTCAAGAGCGGAACACGGCTTCCTGGAAATTGTTCTCACTAGAATTGGCACCTCGCGTCCTTCACTATGACCAACTCACAACACGTCTCAGATCCAACCTCCCGAACACAAGATGCCTAAAATCTGTGCTAACGTGAAAGACTTTTCATGTATTTTTATTGTTTTTATCTGAGATTCAAACTCTTCTTCCTGTGTAATATGCAAAGTATCTAATAGGTATTATTAATGTTTTCGGAGTCATTGTGACTAATAAACCATTAGAATTTTTCATGCTTGTATTTCTAGTATTACAGCAGAACCAGCTAAAATGATTTAAATTCCCAGGGAAGGATTATGCAATTATTTACAATCTTAGAATTGTACTTTATCAGCAAAAACCACACCTGTAAATTCTGGAGTTTTGTAGTTTAATCTAAAATTTGTCTCATGACCCAAGATTCCAGAGTCCCAACTCTGGAGTTTGATCTCTCTCTGTCTCTCTCCCTCCCTCGTTTTAAATTTTACAGAAATATCCAGTAACATAATGCTATAGAAAATCAAGTTTTCCCCAGCACGTTGGGAAGCCGAGGTGGGCGGATCAACTGAGATAAGGAGTTTGAGAGCAGCCTGGTCAACATAGTGAAACCGTGTCTCTGCTAAAAATCCAAAAATTAGCCGTGCCTGGTGGCAGGCACCTGTAACGCCAGCTGCTCAAGAGGCTGAGGCACGAGAATCGCTTGAACCTGGGAGGTGGAGGTTGCAGTGAGCTGAGATTGTGTCACTGCAGTCCAGCCTGGGCGACAGAGCAAGACTCCGCCTCAAGAAAAAAAAAGCAAATAGCCTATAATAACAAATTAGAGGGCTCTGGCTACTAAATTTAAAGGGTTCTATAAGGCTACATAAAGTGCAGCGTCATCAAGAGTGTGGACACAGAGAGCCCCTTAGCAGAAACAGTGTCTAAAATACATCCATGTACACACAATCCCTTTAGAGTTGACAAAGGCTGCTGTGTGGTTTAAGGTGGCATAGAATGTCTTCTCAATAAATAATATTAAACCAATGGGTTACACCTAGTAAAAAATAAATCTAACTGACACTATAAAAACACTTCTTAGTTTTTATCTAGTTGTACATTTTTTATGATTTATATTTAAATTTGAGAAATAAAAGTCATATACGGTCATCCTTCACTATTCGTGGGTGATTGGTTTTGAGATCTCCACTCAGATACCAAAATCTGTAGATGCTCAAGCCTCTTATATGAAATGGCACAGCATTTGCAAATAACCTATGCACATCCTCCTGTATACATGAAATCATCTCTAGATTACCTATAATTCCTGATACAGCCTACACACAGCTTCATTTGTGTCCATTTAACATAGTTATGCTTTTTGAAACTCTGTGGATACTTTCTCTCAATATTTTTGATTTATACTTGGTTCAATAAACACCTGTAAACCCCGCAGATATGGAGGAGTGACCGTATATTTATATTATGAAAGAAGATGTGTTGATATGTGTCCCCATGGAGATGAGACTAACAAGGCCTATGACTCTACAAATGTTTCATTGTGGAATGACTCTGCCAGCTTTCCAGGTCTGCAGAGAGTAAGAGTATCACTTGTTCATGTGATTCGCGATCCTTGGAACCTCCTATGTGCTACATCTTTGGATGGAAATTGGAGTCCCAGAGACAAATGAGGCTCCACCCTGCTTCCAGAAGATCAGAGTCCAGGGATGAGAACTCAGTGGGGAACAGATGGGATTATATGGACATGGTACTGATAACACCGGAAGCCTTAGGCAAGAAAAGAGTCCCATTACCGAAACCATGGGGGCAGACATGTTTATTTGAAGGATGGAAAACTACATTGAAGTTATTTTAAAAAGTATATAAGTTTTACTGCTGACAGAAGGCTGAAAGCTAGTCTGAGGGGAGGTGGAACAGCATGAGGGAAGGTGGAACAGCACGTGTCTAAGTGCTGCGTTAAGACGGAGCCTCTTGTATGTGTGGAATTGTGAGTTCCTCAGTGTGATTGCAGCCTCAAGTAGACTAGGAAGTAAGCCAGTTAGGTTGGAGAGGTGGGCAGGGGTCAAGTGAAATGGAGAACTGTGGGCTAAGCAAAGGAGTGTGTTTTTTCTCCAGCAGGCAGTGGGGACCTTAGACATTTGTAAGCAAGTGAGAGGCACATTCAGATTTGTGGTGTGAGGAAGAGCGATGCCCTAAGATGAAGACTGATGCCTTCAGATTCCAGCTGCTGGTACATGGGAGCTGGCAACCCAGTTTTGAGACAGGGCTGTTGTCTCCCTAGAAGATCCCCTCAAGGCCTGACTGTGGTGCTCGTGGACAGAAGACAACTTTGGATCTGGGCTCAGCATTTGGAAGTTCTATGTACATGCTGGTATCTGTTGGGGGTGTCTTGGGCCTCTGAGAAGGGCGAGTGATTTTTCTCTGTGTGAAAACACAGTGTTCCAATTATGCGTATGACACCTCCTGATGGTCTTGTTCATCAGAATCCTGGAGAGAGGGAAATGCTGAGTGAGGGAGGGTGCTCACATTTTTCAGGACTCTTTGGGAATAACACTAGCCACGAGGCTGGGCCGAGGAGCACCTACCTCGCTGTTCACTTCTGTTCCCTGCAGGCTCTTGGTCCATTACAGCAGCATCTGTAGAAGACGGAAGTCAACAAAAGAGCTCGGAGGGCACTTCTGGGTCCTCATTTCATAAGCAGATACCAACAAACAGGGGGAGGCCATAGGTGCCTGAGGTCCCTCAGTTGCCAACAGCAGACTCAGACATTCTATCTCTCTGAGTTCAAGGACCCATCCCATGAATAGCTCTGAGGTCCCATTCCATTGATTCTATCTCCCACTTTCTGCCTGTCATGGAACCTTCTCCTGGATGTGAGTGGCTGCAGGGGACGTGAGGATACAGTTCAGAATCAGGCAATGGTCTGTGAGCTGAAGGCAGGGGAAGGGAATCTGGTGCTCTCTCTAGAAAGTCCTGCCTCTGTGGCTCCTGTCTTGGGCCAGGGACCATCCTGCTGGTGAGGAACACACACCCGTGTGCTCCCATCCTGCTTCCCCACATGGCCCTGAGCTCTCTGGCCTCTGCTTCGTGAGACTTACTTTTTTTTGTTGGAGCACCAGCGATGAAGGAGAAAGAAGAGGAGGATGGTGAAAGGGATTTTGACCACTGAGGTCCCAATCAGAATGTGCAGGTGTCTGAGGTTACCTGGAAGAAGAGGAGACACCAATAAGAAGCTAATCATAGCAGTTCCTCTTTATGAATTGTCTTGCATTTCTTGATTCACAGGTAACCACATACAGCGTCTCTTTAGGACAAGCACCCAGATGGCGGGAGACCCAGCTTCCTCCTGCTTTCTCAGTTATAGCTCTCATAGTAACCATAGAACGTGCTGAGGATACCACTACTTTAGTTGAGATGTTTGACCCCTTCAAACCTCAGATTGAAATTTACCCCCCAGTGTGGGAGGGTGGGCCTCTTGGGAGGTGTTTGAGTCATGGGGGTGGATACATCATGAACAGATCAATGCTGTTTTAAGGAGACGGGGTTAGCAAGTTCTCCCTCTATTAGTTCCTGGAGAGCTGGTTGTTCATAAGAGCTTGGAAGCTCCATCACTCCCCCTCTCCCTTGCTCCCTCTCTTGCCGTGTGATCTCTGTGGTCTCTGCACAGACAGACCCTCCTTCCCTTCTGCCAGAGTGGGAGCAGCCTGAGGCAGTCACAAGAAATAGATGCTGGTGCCATGCTTCCAGTACAGCCTGCGGAACTGTAAGGCAAACCAAAATCTTTTGTTTAGAAGTTACCCAGGCTCAAGTGTTCCTTTAGAGCAACAAAAATGGACTAAGACAGCAACTTCCTGAGATCAGGAGGAAAGTCCCAGAACAGCCTGGGCTGTCTTCCTGTTCTTCCTGGAGGAGGACGTGATGCAGTGCTTTAGCTGAGTGCTTCCTGTGGCTCCAGGGTACAAAACCCAGGTTGGGCTGCTTTCTGGCTTCCCCCAGCTACACTGCAAATGGGGTGACTCCACATGTCTCGAGCAGCTTTTCTGAGCCTTGGGGAACTGGCTCACATTGAAATGTAGGCTTCTGTTGTCACTCGCTGCTTATCTGTTAGTAATGAACCTGCCTGTGTAATGTGTTCTCTGTGTGTTCTGTCTCCCTGGAGTGACGGTGAGTGATAGGAATTGGCATAGGCCCAGGTGCAGTCCAGGAGGTGTTTAGAGTCTTCTCTGGGAAGACTGGACTGGGATTGATACACAGCGAATGTGCTTTAGGATTTCTACATCCACGGCATTCTTGAGTTAAACAACTTGCATTCTCCAAGAAAAGGAAACAAAAGTGAAATCAAGATCAAAAATGCGAAGTAGAATTCTCTTATGTCAAACAGCCAGAAAATAGTGTTGAAGCCCGTGTGAAATGTGCTATTCTTTGTGATCTCGGGAGACACATGTTAGGCTGCTGTTCTACCTGACAGGCTGGGGGAAGGACCACCCCCTCGACTATCTATTGCTTCAATACCACCTGTCCTCCTGTGAATTAGTAGGAAAGGGGAGCAGGAGCTAGTGCTGGCACTGATCTCTGATTCCAAGATCTGGACTCACTCCAAGGAGTATTAGCATTTACCTCCCCATGGTCTATCTGTATCTGCACAGGTGATTGGAAGTAGGGGTGAGGTGGGGGATTTGGGTGAGGGGGCAAGTTTTTTTTGTGATGACCAGAGCACTTTCTCTATTCCAGGATTTGTGCTGGAGGATTCAGCGGGCTTTCACATTTTCTATATGATCTCATGCTCACAGAAAGCCAAATACGGAAGAGGTTTTAGGCTGATTGTCTAATGGATAAGATAAAGAATCAAAGAAGTAATTATAGAGAAATAGAAAAATGATGATGGGAATTCAGGTGCCTTTGTCGTTCGTGTGTGTTTTATTATATTTATGCATTTCTTATTTTTATTTTTTGAGACGGAGTCTCCTTGTGTCACCCAGGCTGGAGTGCAGTGATGCGATCTCCACTCACTGCAACCTCCACCTCCTGGGTTGAAGTCATTCTCCTGCTTCATCCTCCAGAGCAGGAGCTGGGATCACAGGGATGCACCACCATGCTCGGCTAATTTTTGTATTTTTAGGAGAGATAGGGTTTCACCATGTAGAGATAGGGTTTCACCATGTTGGCCAGGCTGGTCTCGAACTCCTGATTTCTTGGAATCCACTGGCCTTAGCCTCCTGCAGTGCTGGGTTACAGGAGTGAGCCACCGTTCACAGACTTGTATACTATGCTATAATAGGTCCCTTCATTTCCACCACCCCTCATATATCTGTCACTCCTTTGCCAGGTATTGATTTATGTGTAGGAGGAATAAATCTCAGAAAGAAATTAATTTAGCAAGGATTAAACAACTAGGAAACTCAAACCCAGCAAGCCCTCCCTGCAAATGATTCTACCTCCCAAGCATAGCTTATATCCATCTGCTTCATCCACTTAGGGTCTAAATCAGCACCACATTTCACCAGTGGGGTGGCAATTGCCTTTTCCACAGTCTCCTAGATTCCAGTTACGCACCTGGGCCTCCTTTATTTTCATGTCAGTCATATTAATCATGTAGGGATTCCTGGTTACCCCGAGGTGAATCCAATGGCTGTGAGTGTCAAACACACACTCCTTGTTGCTCCTTAGTTTCCTGTGTACCCAGTGTGCTCTCCGTCTCTCTACAGTCGTCTTGTCATTCTCCCCACTTCATTCCCAGCATTTGAGGCAGAGCCTCTTCCTTCAACATCAGATTGTTTTCACCTTTGTGCCTTCACAGCTGACAGCTGTGTGGAAAATCCTTCCGCCAATCTTTCAGGGGTTCAATCCGTGTTTTTCATTAATGTCACAAATATCTGATTAGTGAGACCTTCTCTGTCACCCAAAATTATACACTCAGCATTATCTATTATTGATTTTGAATTCTGGCTGGGCAAAGTGGCTCACGCCTGTAATCCCAGTACTTTGGGTTGCTGAGATGGTCGGATCACTTGAGGTTGGGAGTTTCAGACAAGCTTGGCCAACATGGTGAAACATCCTCTCTACAAAAAATATACAAAAAGAGTTAGCCGGGCATGGTGGCAGTTGCCTGTAATCCCAGCTACTCGAGAGGGTGAGGCAGGAGAATCACTTGGATCCAGGAGACGCAGGTTGCAGTGAGCCAAGATCGTGACACTGCACTGTAGCCTGGAAGACAGAGGGAGACTCTGTCTCAATAAATAAATGAACGAACAAACAAATAGATTTCATGCACAGATGCTTCCCAATGGATCATTCATTTATTGGTCCACTTGTGCATTCATTTTCTGCCCTCCCATTTAACCATCTGCAATATCAGTGTCCCAAGAGCAGAGGCCAAATGCATCTTGTTCACCGTTCGTGGAAGGCAGGAGAATGCTGTCCCACCCCAAAATGTCCCTGTCCTGGCCTCCATAGCTTGTGAATATGTTATTTTACATGGAAAGGAGGAATGAAGATTGCAGATGGAATTACGGTTGCTAGTCAGCTGAACTTAAAACAAGGGTATCCTGAATGATTTCCGGGAGATTATGATGGATTTTCATCTTGGTGAACCCAATAGAATCCCCAAGTTTTCAAAAGATAAGGAAGAAGGGAGAGCAGCATTCAGAGAAAGAGGTGTGGTAAGGAAGAAGGGTCTGAGTGATGCCATGTGAGATGTGACCAGTCTTTGTGGGCTTTGAGGAAGGAGGAAGGGGACCAGGAGCCAAGGAACTGGGAGCCTTTAGAAGCTGGGACAAGTGAGAAGCAGATTCTTGCCTGGAACCCTCAGAGGGAAGGCAGCCTTGCTGTCACCTTGTTTTTAGCCCAGTGAGATGCACTTCATACTTTGAGCTACAGCACTGTAAGATAATTAAAAAGCCGCTTTATTTTCACCCACGAATCTTGTGGAAATTTGTTATGGCAACAATAGGAAAGGATTCCAACTGCACAGCCTGAGCATGGGGCCGTGGCTGAATGAGTCAGTGAGTCGAAGTGTGCGTGCATGAGCTCTGTTCTCTGTTACGGCAAGGCTCTTGCTCTGCTGAGTCAGCCAGGGTTGCTTCATGACCAACAGTAATTCATTCCTTGGCAAGTGGAACTTCTCTAAAACACCCACCCTCATGAGATGTTCCCTTCCCTTCCCTCTCTCAAGTCCCCAGGAATTTATCCTCCAGTTAGGAATGCAGGCAGAAAAAACACTGCATTTTTCCTGAGAAGGATGTCAGATTGGCAATCATTCTTCTAGCTTGTAGGAGGTCTCACCTGCAGGACATTAAAGGTTAAGAGACTTCGCTGAGCCCTTTGGTGGCCCTAGATCCCTTTCACTGTTGGAGTGTCTGGAGTTCAGAGATGGTGGAAGACAGGCCCTCATTCACAGAGCTGGGAGGTTTGAGCCAACGCTTGCATCCAAGGCTTCCACCTCCCCAGGTTTCCAAAAGCAGAGATAAGAGGGGTCCTTTACTCACCAGATTTGGAGCTTGGTTCTGTGGGTGAAGGCCAACTACTTGAAGGGTTTCCTAGAACATGGGACAGGAGAGATGTGAGGAAATGAGGGTGCTTGTCCTCTACTCAATGGAAATCTTTGAGGTTGGTTCATGGCCAACACTCTGTTATCTAATGTTGGACCCTGGGAGTCTTGGGATCCTCTTCTCCATAATTTTTGTGTGCGATGCCCACTGTCTTGAGACTTGAAGGTATAAAGAGAAAACAGGAGCATCACACTACCTGACTTAGAAATATGTTACAGAGCTGTAGTAAGCAAAACAGCATGACATTGGCATAAAGAAAGGCACATAAAAAATGGAACAGAATGGAGAACACGGATATGATCCATGCATTTACACCCAATGGCTTTTTTTTGTGTGTGTGTGATGGAATCTTGCTCTGTCATGCAGGCTGGAGTGCAGAGGTGCAATCTCAGCTCAATGCAACCTCCACTTCCTGGATTCAAGCAATTCTCTTGCCTCAAACACCCGAGTAGTGGTATTACAGGCACTGGTCACCATGCTCAGCTAATTTTTGTATTTTTAGTAGAGACGAGGTTTCACTCTGTTGGCCAGCCTGGTCTTGAACTCCTGGCTTCAGGTGATCCACCCGCCTCGGCCTCCCAAAGTGCTGGAATTGCAGGTGTGAGCCACCATACCCAGCCCATTTAATGGACTTTGACAAAGGTGCCAAGAACTCACAATCAGGAAAGGACAGTCTTTTCAATAAATGGTGTGGGGAAAACTGGATATCTACATGCAGAGGAATAAAACTGCATCTATACCTGTCACCATAAACAAAAATCAAATGAAAATGGATTAAAAACATGAGTCTAAGGCCTGAACCTATGAAACATGTAGAAGAAAATAATGGGGAAGACATTTGTCTGACGAAAGACATTTTGTTTAAAACCTTCAAAACACAAGTAATCAAAGCAAAAAATAGACCATTAGGATTACATCAAACCAAGCAACTTCTGCACCACAAAAGATAAACCAAGAAAGTGAAGAGACAACCCACAAAATAGGAGCAAATATTTGCAAACTATTCATCTGAGACGGGATTAATAACTGGAAATATAAGAAGCTCAAACAACTCAATAAAACAATTTAATTAAAAAACGAGCAAAAGACATGAGGAGACATTTCTCCACAAACAAAACATAGAAATGGCGATCACGTATATGAAAAAGTACTCGGCATCACTCATCATCAGAGAAATGTAAATTACAATCGCGATGAGTTTTCATCTCATCCCATTAAAATGCCTTTTAGGCCGGTGGCTCACGCCTGTAATTCCGGCACTTCAGGAAGCGGAGGTGGGCGGATCACCTGAGGTCGGGAGACCAGCCTGACCATCATGGAGAAACTCCCTCTCTACTAAACATACAAAAATTAGCTAGGCGTGGTGGCACACGCCTGTAATCCCAGCTACTTTGGAGGCTGAGGCAGGAGAATCAGTTGAACGCGGGAGGCGGAGGTTGCAGTGAGCTGAGATCACACCCTTGCACTCCAGCCTGGGCGACTATGAGTGAAACTCCATCTCAACATAAATAAATAAATAAAATAAAGTAAAGTAAAATGGCTTTTATCTGCAAGACAGGCAAAACAAATGCTGGCAAGATGGTAGAGAAAGGAGAACCCTGGTACCCTGTTGGTAGGAATGTAAATTAGTACAACTATTATGGAGAAAAGTATGGAAATTCTTTAAAAAACTAAAAGGAGGCTGGGCATAGTGGCTTATGCCTGTAATTTCAGCACTTTGGGAAACCGAGGCAGGCACCTCACTTGAGGTCAGGAGTTTGAGAGCAGCCTGCCCAAAATTGGGATATCCCGTCTGTGCTAAAAAAATACAAAAATTAGCCAGGCATGGTGGCATGCACCTGTAATCACAGCTACTAGGGAGGCTGAGTCAGGACAATCATTTGAACCTAGGAGGCACAGGTTGCAATGAGCCAAGATCTCACCACTTAGACTCCAGCTTGGACTAAGGAGGGAAACTCTTTCTCAAAAAAGAAAAAAAAAAAAAAGAGAACTTTCATAGTATCCAGCAATTTCACTACTGGGTTTATATCCAAAGGAAAGGACATCAGTGTATCGAAGTGATATCTGCACTCATATGACTGTTCCAGCACTGTTCACAGTAGCCAAGATGTGGAGTCAACCTACCTGCCTATCAGTGGGTGAATGGATAGAGAACTGTGGTACACACACACAGTGGAGACTACTCATCCATAGAAACAATAACATCCTGTCATTTGCAGCCACATGGATGGAACTGGAGGTCATTACAAAGATTCCCATTTCTCACCCACATGCAGGAGATAAAAGGTGGATCTCATGAAGGTGGAGAATACAATGGTGGACACCAGAGGCCAGGAAGGGAAGGGTGGAGGGTAACAAAAAAAAGAATATAGATGTATTTATTTATTTAGAAACAGAGTCTCTCTCTGTCTCCCAGGCTGCAGTGCAGTGGCATGATCTCGGCTCAGTGCAACCTCGGCCTCCTGGCTTTAAGTGCTTCTCCTGCCTCAGCCTCCCAAGTAGCTAGGACTACAGGTGCATGCCAGCATGCTCGGCTAATTTTTCTTGTCTGTTTAGTAAAGATGAATTTCCCACATGTTGGCCAGGGTGATCTCGAGTTCCTGATCTTAAATGATCCACCTTCCTTGGCCTCTCAAAGCGCCGAGATTACAACTGTGAACCACCACGCCCAGCATATAAAGGTATTTATGACCACTAGATTTTACTTTTAAAAATGGTAAAGGTGGTAAATTATATAGTTACATTTAACCTCAATAAATATTTTTGAAAATGAAAAGAAAAGGGTGTAGGGGTTGCTGGTGATGATATCTCTCTGTGTGGGTGAGAGGCCATGATGGGCTTCTGGGAAATGGGTAAGATTGAGGGGCTGAGGGAACCTCTGATCTCCCCAAACTAAGCCCAGTCTCCCCTTCTCTGGGTCTGTCCTGACCGCTTTCTCCATCTGCCTGGGTGCCTGGAGCCCTGATCGGAGGCCTCCATGCAGGCCATGAAGGAGGGTTTGGAGGTGCCCTGTCTGCCATCCTGCGCCCTGACTCCGCCCTCACACCTGCTGTGTCTTCTCTCTGCATCTGTCCATGCTTTTCTCCATCATCAGCAGGAAGCTCCTTAGCTAAGGATTTAGGATCATAGGACATGAGAGAGATATGGGCTTTTCTCACCTGTGACAGAAACAAGCAGTGGGTCACTCGGGTCTGACCACTCGTAGGGAGAGTGACGGAAAGAGCCGAAGCATCTGTAGGTCCCTCCGTGGGTGGCAGGGCCCAGAGGGAAATCTGCCTGGAATGTTCTGTTGACCTTGCGCACTGCAGGGAGCCTACGTTCATGGGCTCCCCCCTCCCTGGATAGATGGTACATGTCATAGGAGCTCCGGGAGCTACAGGACAAGGTCACGCTCTCTCCTGCCTGAACCTTGGGGCCCGGCTGGGCTGAGAGAGAAGGTTTCTCATATAGACCTGGAAGGAGAAGAGGCAGTTTCCTCAGGGAGGTTCTTCCTTGTCACAGCTCCCCTCACACCTGAGCTGAGAACTCACTCCCCTGCTCTATGACCTAATGCTCTCTCTCTCTCTCTCACTCTCCACCCCATCTCTCTTCATATCTGTTTCCTCCTTCTACCTTTTCTGTCTCTCTAGGTCTATGACCTCACTTCCCCACCCTGAGGTATGTTTTCCCTTTTTGGATTGTTTTATTCTCTCTGACCCTCCTTGGATTGGTTGACTTGATCTTCCTTTTTCTTTAATTTTGAGTCTCTCACTTTCTGTCTTGTTCATAACTTTCTGCACATTTCTATCTATTATCTATCGATCTATCTATTTATCTATTTTGTGTCTATCTACAAATTATCTATCATCTATATTTATGTATCACTTATCTATCTCTCTATCAATTGTCTATCTGTCTATCTATCCATCAATCATCTATTATCTATATATGTATCATCTATCTCTCTCTCTATTACCTCTCTGTCTGCCTCTCTGTCTCTATTTATGTATCATCTATGTATATATCTATGTGTCTATCATCATCATCGTCATCATCATCATCTCTATGTATCATCTATCAGTCATCATCTATGTATCTATAACCAATCCATTATCTATCATCTACCTATTTATCATCTATCTACGTCTATCTATCCATCTATCATCTCTCTCTCTCCGTCTCCTTGTCTTTCTCTGCCTCTCAGTCTCTCTAGTTCTATTTGGAATCTCTGCAATCCATCCCCACATCTTTATCTTTCTCTGTCTTTGTGTCCCTCCCTCAGGGTTCTGATTTTGGGGCTTTTCTCTCCTCCTTTCCATCATTCTCTCCACTCTGCCCTCTTTTCTTTCTTTTTATGTGTCTGTGAATCTCTTAATCTCCTTCTTCTGGCTCATTTTGTGTGTGTTTATGTCTTTGCTTTTTGGTGTCCCTGATTTTTCTCTGTGTCTCTCAGCGATCCTATCATATGTGGGATTATTTGGAATATGAGCCTCAGAATCCAGTCTGGGGACCCCAAGTTCACACAGCATACAGGGGTTGGTGTTCTGGGGCCATGATATCCTGGGATGATTACTCTCCATTGCATGGAAGGCAGAGGTGTCAGAATAAACACGGCATCTGTAGGTGGCACAAGGCCTGAGGCCACAGGGCCCAACTCAGGTCAGAAATATGGGTGTCCTTGGGTTCTTCTGGTAGAAACACTTTGTGGAGGTAAAACAGAAATGAAACTTCTAACCTGTGCCAGGTCTCTGAGCAAAGTCAGCATGGAAGGACACCTCTCTCTGGGACATGTCTGTCTGTCTGAGTGTCTCCTTTACCTCTTTCTCTCTTTTCTACCTCCCTGTATGGCCCCTGTGTCTGTCCCCTGTTATGACACCTGTTCTGTACTTATGTCTCCTGTTTCTCTGTCTCTGTTGGTACAGACCTCACCAAGTCACTCTCTTTCCATAAGAATCCCACACTTATCTTCCTCATGACCACCTGGGGGTTCCAAGTCCTGGATCATTCACTCTGTGTCCCAGTGACAATGAGAACAATGTCTAGACACTCTCACCTGTGACCACGATGTCCAGGGGATCACTGGGAGCTGACAACTGATAGGGGGTGTGAGTAACAGAACCGTAGCATCTGTAGGTCCCTGCAAGGGCACGCATCATGGAACCGATGGAGAAATTGGCCTTGGAGACCCCATCATGGATCTGTCCAACGAGGCGTGAGGGGTCCTTAGAGATCCACTCTTTGTGCAGAAAGAAGTGCTCAAACATGATATCTGACCAACATTGCAGGATGACTCTCTCTCCTGATTTCACCAGGGGACCTGGGTGGGCCAGGAGGGAAGGTTTTCTGTGGTTTCCTAGAAAGAGAAGTTGTGAGTTTAGAAGGCATCTCTCTTTATCATCCCATCCATGGCACCTGGAATGAGTGAGGGTTCCCCTCCCCGTGTCTGTCTCTCTCCTCCCTCTCTGCATCTCCGTGTCTTTTCTGTGCCCATATCCCCTGGTGCAGGTGCCTCCATCTGTCTTCCTCCCTCTTCTCTGTCCCTCTGTCTCCAGTAGCCCCTGACTCCCTTGCCACTGTGAAGACAGCCTCATCTCTTGGGCTGTTGTATCTGTTTCCCACTAATCTCTTTCCTGCTGTTTATATGGGGGTGGAAGAGGACAGGCTGCATGTCCAGGCTCTTAGCAGCCTGAATCAATCTCTTTTGAACAAATTGGAGTCTCTGGCAGGTGGTATCAACTCATCAGTAAGACAGACATCAGTGACCACACACCCTGTTCCTGATGGGGATTGGGAGCCTCTCCTGCCATGTCTGTGCCTTCTCCATGGCCCCAGCTTCCATAGGGTGGCCCCTGGTGCTGGTTCCAGGAGCATCAACCCCTTCCTATGTGGATGGAGCCTGGTGGTAACATCAGCATCCTGCCCTTGCTGATCTCAGGGTAGCCAACCTTCTCCTTGTTTGGTTTCTTTAATTAATTGATTAATTAATTTATTTTTGAGACAGTCACTTTTTCACCCAGGCTGGAGTGTAGTGGTGTTGTCTTGGCTCACTGAAACCTCTGCCTCCCCAGTTCAAGTGATTCTCTTGCCTCAGCCTCCCCAGTCGTTGGATTACTCGCGCCCACCACCACACCTGGCTGTCCTTGTTTGGTTTCCTAACTTGTCCTTGACCTGGGTTCCTAACTTGTCCTTGACCTGGGTTCCTGTGTTGGTTTCCTGTTGCTGCTGCAGAAAATTACCACAAACATGGCAGCAGGAGAGAACACACTGACCCCTTCCACTTCTGGAGACAGAAATTGGATCCAGTTCTCCCTGTGCTGAAATCAAGGCGTCTACAGGGCTGCGTTCCCTCTGGAGAATCAGCGAATCAGTTCTCCTGACTTCTCCAGCCCTTAGAGGCCACCTGCATTCTGTGACTAGTGGTCTTCCTCCACTTTCAAAGCCCGCAGTGGCTGATAGCGTCTCCCTCCCACTACACTGCTCTAATCCCCACTCCCCTCTTCCTCCACCTCTCACGCGGACCCTTGTGATTACACTGAGCCCAGTGGGACAGTCCAGGCTGTCTCCCCATCTCAAGGTCAACTCATCAACAACCTGAGCTCCACCTTCCCCTTCAGTCCCCTGCCCTATAACATAAATAGTCACAGGCTCCAGGGATTACAATGTAGCCATCATTGGGGACAGTTATTCTTCCCACCACAGCACCCATTTGCCCTGTATTCAATCTCCCTTGACCCCAAATACAGCCAGGGCCTGGGTGATGGGACCCTGACGGACAGCCCCACCAGAAGCTCTGGGATTCAGGAGGTGGGACAGTGAGAAGCCCAGACGGAAAGCCTCTGACCTGTGACCATGATCACCATGGGGTTGCTGGGTGCCGACCACCCAGTGGGGGAGTGTGGGTGTGAACCCCGACATGTGTAGTTCCCTGCATGTGCTGTGGTCACAGGGCTCATGTTGAAGCCCTCCTGGAATATTCTGCCATGGAAGATGGGAACGTGGATTCTGTCTTCTTTGTATAGCATGAAATTGTTAAACCTATGACGATAGTGACACCGAAGAGTCACGTGTCCTCCGCGAGGCACCACAGCGCTGGGCCAGGCAGACAGGAAGGGCTTGTCCTGACCACCTGGGGGAGAAGGAGGCACTGCCTTAGAGAGGAGGATGTGGAGCCGCCCCTCACTCCCAGTGCCCAGAAGATTCTCCCCATTTCCACTTTCTAAGGCTCCTACCACACCTGGGTGCCCAGGGCTACAGGAAGGACCCATCCTGCATAGACATGGCGTCTCCCTACAACAAGTGTCAGCTGAGAACTTTGAGCAAGTGCTGGAGAAGCAACTCTTACTAGATTTTAATACTGCAAAATTACTCATATAAAACAATACAAAGTAGACACGGCATGGAGGGCAAGTCCTATGTGAATGGAATATCAGCCAATTGATGAACTGAGCCCCCATCAGAGGATTTGGAATGTCAGGGCCATGGCTGTGGTTTCCTCACCTTTTCTGGTAGAAAGACCGCAGCCACACTGCAGCCCCTACCATCACGGAAACGCTGGAGGGTGTGAGTTACACCTTTGTCCTCAGAGGACCTGCTGTTCCTAGCACTGCTTCCCTCTCTTTCTCTGCTGCTGACACCACTTCCTCCCTGCACACCCATCTTGGAGCACCCTAGTCTCACCCCAGTCTTCACAGAGCTTGACTCAGGAAAGGGAAAGAAAGGCCGGGGAGGGCAAGGTCAGAAATGTGGGCCGAGCATCCGAGGGTCCCCTCTTCCTAGTGTATGAGAGACTCCCCGACAGGACTTCCCTCCCATTTCAGGAAAATCCTCTTATGTGGGGAGATGACACCCTAAGGTTTGGGGAAGGACTCACCCATGTGTGGACCGGCCCTCTGGACCAAGAACAACCCTAGAAAGAAAGATCATGATGGACCATCCATCTGCAGGCAAACCAGGGCACCCTGCTGCCCCCACTGGGTTGTGCGTCTTGGCAGCCAGGCCCTTGCTGGGCTGAAGGTAAACTCACCCTCGCTGCCTACCTGCCCCCAGGAACAAGGATCTCGGCTGTGCAGAGACTCAGCCTCCAGGCCCAGATCTCTACCTCCAGGCCTAGATCTACACAACAGGCCCAGATCTCCACTCCAGGTCCGTATCTCCACTCCAGACCCATATCTCCTCTCCAGGCTGATAAGTCCACTCCAGGCCCATATCTCCACTCCAGGCTCCTATCTCAACTCCAGGCTCATATATCCACTCCAGGCTCATATCTCCACTCCAGGCCCATATTTCCACTCCAGGCTTCTATCTCCTCTCCAGGCCCATATCTCCTTTCCAGGCTTGTATGTCTGCTCCAGGCCCGTATCTCCACCCCAGGCCCATATCTCCACTCCAGGATCATATCTCCACTCCAGGCCCAGATCTCCACTTCATGCCCTTAACTCCACCTCCGGGCCCATAACTCCACCTCTAGGCCCATATCTCCACTCCAGGCCCATATCTCCACTTCAGGCCCATATCTCTACTGCAGGCCCATAACTCCACCTCCAGGCCCATATCTCCACTCCAGGCCCATCGCTCCACTTCTAGGCCCATCACTCCACCTCTAGGCCCACATCTCCCCTCCAGGCCCATATCTCCCCTCCAGGCCCATATCTCCACCCCAGGCACATATCTCCACCCCAGGCCCATATCTCCACTCCAGGCCCAGATCTCCACTCCAGGCACATATCTCCACCCCAGGCCCCTATCTCCACTCCAGGCCCAGATCTCCACTCCAGGCCCAGATCTCCACTTCAGGCCCATAACTCCACCTCCAGGCCCATAACTCCACCTCTAGGCCCATATCTTTACCTCCAGGTCCAGATCTCCATCCCCGCACTCCCTCCCTCGATTCCCTTCCAGGACTCACCAACACACGCCATGCTGACGACCATGAGCAACATGGTGCTGCCGGTGCAGACAGGCGGCTGCGCCCCAGCTCAGCTCAGCAGCGCACAGGATGTTATTTGGCGCCCTGCCCATGCAGTTTACATGTTGACCACATCATGGGAGGGTGACGTACGCAGGCTCTTTCTACCTTGCATGAGGCCCAGTGGGTGCTCGCTCAAGAGCGGAGCATGGCTTCCTGGAAATTGCTCTCACTAGAATTGACACCTCGCGTCCTTCACTATGACCAACTCAAAACACGTCTCAGATCCAACCTCCTGAACACGAGATGCCTAAAATCTGTGCTAACATGAAAGACTTTTCATGTATTTTTATTGCTTTTATCTGAGATTCAAACTCTTCTTCCTGTGTAATATGCAAAATATCTAATAGGTATTATTAAGGTTTTCAGAGCAATTGTGACTAATAAACCATTAGAATTTTTCATGATTGTATTTCTAGTATTACAGCAGAACCAGTTCAAATGATTTAAACTCCCAGGGAAGGATTATGCAATTATTTACAATCTTAGAATTGTACTTTATCAGCAAAAATCACAACATGTAAATTCTGGATTTTTGTAGATTTATCTAGAATTTGTCTCATGTCCCAAGATTCCAGAGTTCCAACTCATGGTTTGCTCTCTCTCTGTCTCTCTGCCTCCCTCATTTTAAATTTTACAGAAATATCCAGTAACATAATGCTATAGAAAATCAATTTCCCCAGCACTTTGGAAGCCGAGGTGAGTGATCAACCGAGGTCAGGAGTTTGAGACCAGCCTGGCCAATATAGTGAAACCATGTCTCTGCTAAAAATACAAAAATTAGCCATGCCTGGTAGCAGGCACTTGTAATGCCAGCTATTCAAGAGGCTGAGGCACGGAATCCCTTGAACCTGGGAGGCAGAAGTTGCAGTGAGCCGAGATCGTGCCACTGCACTCCAGCCTGGGCAACAGAGCGAGACTCTGCCTCAAGAAAAATAAAAAAAGCATAGCAAATAGCCTATAATAAATAACTAGAGGACTCCAGCTACCAAATTTTAGGGGTTGTATAAGGCTGCATAAAATGCAGCATTCTCAAGAGAGTGGACAGAGAGAGAGCCACTGAGCAGAAAACAGTGTCTAAAATACATCCGTGTACACACAGTCCCTTTATAGTTGACAAAGGCTGCCATGTGGTTTAAGGTGGAATAGAATGTCTTCTCAATAAATAACATGGGCCCAAGGGTTACACATGGAGAAAAATATATCTAAAAGTATTCTCACACTATAAAACACTTGTTTATTTTATCTTGTTATTGTAATTTTTTTATGTTTTATATTTAAAATTGAGAAATAAAAATTATATACAGTCATCCCTCATTATTCGTGGGTGATTGGTCTCAGGATCTCCACTCAGATAGCACAATCTGCAGATGCTCAAGCCTCTTACATGAAATGGCACAGCATTTGCAAATAACCCATGCACATCCTCCTGTGTACATGAAATCATCCCTTGATTATTTATAATTCCTGATACAGCCTACACACAGCTTCATTTGTGTCCATTCAACATAGTTTTGCTTTTTGAAACTTTGTGGATTTTTTCTCTGAATATTTTTGATTTATATTTGGTTCAATAAACACCTGTAAATCCCACAGATACAGAGGACCGACTGTATATTTATAGTATGAAAGATGATGTGTTGATATGTGTCCCCGTGGAGATGAGACTAACAAGGCCTATGACTCTACAAATGTTTCATCATGGAATGACTCTGCCAGCTTTCCAGGTCTGCAGAGAGTAAGAATATCACTTGTTCATGTGATTCACGATCCTTGGAACCTCTTATGTGCTGCATCTTTGGATGGAAATTGGAGTCTCAGAGACAAATGAGGCTCCACCCTGCTTCCAGAAGCTCAGAGTCCAGGGGTGAGAACCCAGTGGAGAACAGTTGGAGTTATTTGGACATGGTAATGATAACACTGGAAACTTTCAGCCAAAAAAAGAGTCACCTAAAGAATGAAGGCAGACATGTTTATTTGAAGAGGAGAGAACTACACTGAAATCAAAAAAATTTTATAAGGTTTGCTGATGCCAGAAGGCTGAAAAATAGTCTGAGGAAAGGTGGAACAGCACGAGGGAAGGTGGAACAGCACGTGTCTAAGTGCCGTGTTAAGAGAGAGCCTCTTGTATGTTTGGAATTGTGAGTTCCTCAGTGTGATTGCAGCCTCAAGTAGACTAGGAAGTAAGCCAGTTAGGTTGGAGAGGTGGGCAGGGGTCAAGTGAAATAGAGAATTGTGGGCTAAGCAAAGGAGTGTGTTTTCTCTGCAGCAGGCAGTGGGGACCTTAGACATTGGTAAGCAAGAGACAGGCACCAGATTTGTGGTGTGAGGAAGAGTGATGCTCTAAGATGGAGACTCACGCCTTCAGATTCCAGCTGCTGGTACATTAGAGCTGGCAAGCTGGGTTTGAGACAGGGCTGTTGTCTCCCTAGAAGATCCCATCAAGGCCTGACTGTGGTGCTCATGGGCAGGAGACAACGCTCTGGGCTCAGCATTTGGAAGTTCTATACACACGCTGGTATCTGTTGAGGGTCTCTTGCTCCTCTGAGAAGGGCCAGTGATTTTTCTCTGTGTGAAAATGCAGTGATCCAACTGTGCGTATGTCACCTCCTGAGGGTCTTGTTCATCAGAGTCCTGGAGAGAGGGAAATCCTGAGTGAGGGAGGGTGTTCACATTTTTCAGGACTATTAGGGAATAAGACTGTATCCATGAGGCTGGGCTAGGAGGACCTACCTCCCTGTTCACTGTTCTGTGTCCCGCAGGCTCTTGGTTCATTACAGCAGCATCTGTAGGAGACGGAAGCAATCGAAACAGCTGGGAGGGCACTTCTGGGTCCTCATTTCATGAACAGATACCAACACACAGGGGGAGGCCATAGGTGCCTGAGGTCCCTCAGCTGCCAACAGCCAGACTCAGACATTCCATCTCTCTGAGTGCAAGACCCCATTCCATGAATAGCTGTCAGTTCCCATCCCATTGATTCTATCTCCCACTTTCTGCCTGTCATGGAATCTTCTCCTGGATGTGAGTGGCTGCAGGGGACGTGAGGATACAGTTCACAATCAGGCAATGGTCTGTGAGCTGAAGGCAGGGGCAGGTTGTCTGGTGCTCTCTCTAGAAAGCTCTGCCTCTGGCTCCTGCCTTGGGCCAGAGACTTTCCTGCCAGTGAGGAACACACACCTGCGTGCTCCCATCCTGCTTCCGCACAGGGCCCTGAGTTCTCTGGCCTCTGCTTCGTGAGGCTTACTTTTTTTTTTGGAGCACCAGCGATGAAGGAGAAAGAAGGGAAGGATGGTGAAGAGGATGATGGCCACTGAGTACCTAATCACAGCATGCAGGTGTCTGGCGATACCTGGAGGAAGATGAGAATCCAATAAGAAGCTAACCATAGCAGTTCCTCTTTGTGGATTGTCTCTCATTTCTTGGTTGCCAGGCAACCACATAAAACACCTCTTTAGGACAAGCACCCACGAGGCGGGAGACCCAGCTTTCTCCTGCTTTCTCCGTTATAGTTTTCATAATAACAATAGAATGTGCTGATGATACAACTGCTATTGTTTCAATGTTTGACCCCTCCAAACCCCACTTTGAAATTTAATCCCCAGTGTGGGAGGTTGTGCCTATTGGGAGGGGTGTTTTGGTCATGGGGGTGGATCCATCATGAATAGATTAATGCTGTCCCCAGAGGACGGGGTTAGCAAGTTCTCCCTCTATTAGTACCCTGGAGAGTTGATTCTTAAAAAGAGCTTGGAAGCTCCATCACACCCCCTTTCTCCCTCTCTTGCCATGTGATCTCTGTGGTCTCTGCACACGCAGGACCCCCTTCTCTTCTGTCAGTGTGGGAGCAGCCTGAGGCCGCAGCCAGAAATAGATGGTAGTGTCCTGCTTCTAGTACAGCGTGCAGATCAGTGAGCCAAACACATCTCTTTTCTTTAGAAGATACCCAGGCTCAAGTGTTCTTTTATAGCAACAAAAATAGGCTAAGACAGCAACATCCTGAGATCAGGAGGAACGTCTCAGAACAGCCTGGGCTGTCTTCCTGTTCTTCCTGGAGGAGAACATCATGCAGTGCTTTAGCTGAGTGTTCCCTGTGGCTCCAGGGTACAAAACCCAGGCTGGGCTGCTTTCTGGCTTCCCCCAGCTACAGTGCACATGAAGTGACTCCATGTGTCCTGAGCAGTTTTTCTGAGCCTTGAGGGACTGGCTCACCCTGAAAGGAAGGTTTCTGTTGTCACTCGCTGCTTATCTATAAGTAATGAACCTGCCTATGTAATGTATTCCCTGTGTGTTCTGTCTCCCTGGAGTGATGGTGAGTGATAGAAATTGGCACAGCCCCAGGTGCAGTATGGGAGGTGTTTAGAGTCTTCTCTGGGAAGACTGGACTGGGATTGATACACAGTGAATGTGCTTTACAGTTTCTACATCCACAACCCTCTTGACTCAAACAAATTACATTCTCCAAGAAAAGGAAAAAACAGTGACATTGAAATCAACATAAGTGAGGTTGAGCTGTCTTATATCAAACAGCCAGGAAATAATGATGAAGCTCGTGGGCAACATGCTACTTTTGTCATCTTGGGAGTCAGATATTAGGCTGCTGTTCCACCCGAGAGTCTGGGGGAAAGACCACCCCCTCCATCATCTGTTGCTTCAATACAGCCTGTCTTTCTGTGAATTACTCCAAAAGGTGACCAGGAGATAGTGCTGGCACTGGTCTCTGAGTCTACGATCTGAACTCCAAAGAATATTAGTTTTTACCTCCCCATGATCTATCTGTATCATTAATGTGATTGGAAGTAGGGGTGAGGTGGGGGATTTGGGTGAAGGGGCAAGTTTTGTGCCATGAACAGATCACGTTCTCTATTCCAGGACCTGCGCTGGTGGGTTTCACATTTTCCATATGATCTCATGCTCACAGAAAGCCAAATAAGGAAGATGTTTTCGCCTGATTTTCTTATGGATAGGATAAAGGATCAAAGAAGTCATTATAGAGAAATAGAAAAATGATGATTGGAATTGGTGTGCCTTTGTCATTCGTGTATGTTATATTATATTTATGTATTCTTTATTTTTATTTTTTGCCATGGAGTCTCACTCTGTCACCTAGGGTGCAGTGCAATGACGCGATCTTGGCTCACTGTAACCTCTCCCTCCCTGGTTGAAGCCATTCTCCTTCTTCAACTTCCCGAATAGCTGGTATTACAGGCATGCGCCACCACCCCCAGCTAGTTTTTGTATATTTAGTAGAGATGGGGTTTCACCATGTTGTCCAGGCTGATCTCGAACTCCTGATCTCACTTGATCCAGCCTCCTCAGCCTCCCAAAATGTTGGGTTACAGGTGTGAGCCACCGTTCAGAACCTTGTGTGTTATATTATAATAGGTCTCTTCCTTTGCACCACCCCTCATGTATCTCTCACTCCTCTGCCAAGTATTGATTTACATGTAGGAAAAATAAATCTCAGAAAGAAATCAATGAAGTGAAGATTAAACAATTAGGAAAAATCAAAGCAGGCAAGCCCTCCCTGCAAATTACTCTACCTCACAAACACATCTTGTGTCCATCTTTCATTCATTTAGTGTCTAAATCAGCACCACATTTCACCAGGGGGGCGGGAATTGCCTTTTCCACAGTCTCCTAGATTCCAGTTATGCACCTGGGCCTCCCTTATTTTCATGTCAGTCACTATTCATCATGTAGGGATTCCCAGTTAGCCCCGAGGTAAGTCCAATGGCTGTGAGTGTCAAACACACGCTCCTTGTTCCTCCTTAGTTTCCTGTGTACCCAGAGTGCTCTCTGTCTCTCCACAGTCGTCTTGTCATTCTCCCCATCTCATTCCCAGCATTTCAGGCAGAGCCTCTTCCTTCCACATAACATTGTTTTCACCTTTGTGCCTTCACGGCTGACAGCTGTGTGGAAAATCCTTCCGCCAATCTTCCAGGGGTTGATCTATTTTTTTCATTAAGGTCACAAGTATTATTTGATCAGTGAGAACTTCTCTGTCACCCGAAATTATACACTCAGCATTATCTATTATTTCTTTTAAAATACGGCTCGGCGCCTTGGCTCACGCCTCGAATCTCAGCACTTTGGGAGGCTGAGACGGGCGGATCCCTTAAGGTTGGGAGTTTGAGATAGCCTGGGCAACATGGTAAAACCTTGTCTGTACTAAAAAAAAAATACCAAAAAAAAATTAGCCAGGCGTGGTGGGACATGGGTGTAATCCCAGCCTCTCGGGAAGCTGAGTGTAGAGAATCGCTTTAACCTGGGAGGTGGAGGTTGCGGTGAGCCGAGATCCCGCCACTGCACTCCAGCCTGGGGCACAGAGGGAGACACCGTCTCATAAAAACAACCAATCAATCAATCATTCTCATGCACAGATGCTTCCCAATGGATCATTCATTTATTGGTCCACTGGTGCATTCATTTTCTGCCCTCCCATTTAATCCTTTGCAATATCAGTGTCCAAGAGCAGAGGCCAAATGCACCTTGTTTACCATTTGTGGAAAGGATAAGAATGCCGCCCCACCCCAAAATGTTCCTGTCCTAGTCGCCATATCTTGTGAATATGTTATTTTACATGGAAAAAAGGAATGCAGATTGCAGATGGAATTACGGTTGCTAATCAGCTAACCTTAAAAGGAGGGTATCCTAGATGATTTTAGGGAAATTATGATGGATTATCTTGGTGTTTCCAATAGAATGCCAAAGTCCTTAAAAGATGAGGAAGAAGGCAGAGCAGCATTCAGAGAAAGAGGTGTGGACAAGGAAGAAGGGTCTGAGTGATGCCGTGTGAGAGGCGTGACCAGCCTTTGTGGACTTTGAGGGAGGAAGACGGGGACCAGGAGCCAAGGAATGTGGGAGCCTCTAGGAGCTGGGAAAAGTGAGGAAGCAGATTCTTGCCTGGAACATTCAGAGGGAAGGCAGCCTTGCTGTCACCTTGATTTTAGCCCAGTGAGATGATGCATTTCATACTTCTGAGCTACAGCACCATGAGATATTTTTTTAAAATGTGGTTTCCATCCACGAAGCTTGTGGAAATTTGTTATGGCAACATAGGAAAAGGTTCCACACTGCACAGTCTGAGCATGGGGCAGTGGCTGAACGAGTAAGTGGAAGTGTCATGTGCACGGATGAACTACGTTCTCTCTTACCGCAAAGCTCTTGTTCCACTAAGTCAACCAGGGTTGGATCATGACAGACAGGAGCTCATTCCTTGGCAAGTAGAACTTCTCTACAAATACACCACCCTCAAAAATGTTCCCCGTCCTTCCCCTTCTCAAGCCCCCAGGCATTTGTCCTCCCAGTTAGGAATGCAGGCAGAACAAACACAGCATTTTTCCTGAGAAGAATGTCTGATTTGCACTCATCCTTCTACCCTGAGGTCTCAGCAGCAGAAAATTAGAGATTAAGAGATTTCACTGAGCCCTGTGCTGGGCCCAGATCCCTTTCGCTGTTGGAGTGTCTGGGGTTCAGAGACAATGGAAGACAGGCCCACAATCACAGAGCTGGCAGGTGCTGAGCCAACGCTTGAATCCAAGGCTTCTACCTCCCCAGGTTTCCAAAAGCAGAGATAAGAGGGGTCCTTCACTTACCAGTTTTGAAGCTTGGTTCAGTGGGTGAAGGCCAACTACTAGAAGGGTTTCCTAGAACATGGGACAGGAGAGAGGTGTGGCAATGAGGATGCCTGTCTTCTACTCAATGGAAATCTTTGAGGTTGGTTCATGGCCAACATTCTATTATCTAATGTTGGGCCCTGGGAGTCCTGGCATCCCATTCTCCATAATCATTGTAGGTGACACCAACTATCTTGAGACTTCAAGGTATAAGGAGAAAACAGGAGCATCACACTACCTGACTTAAAAATATGTTACAGAGCTGTAGTAAGCAAAACAACATGACATTGGCATAAAGAAAAGCACATAAAACAATGGAGCAGAATGAAGAACACGGATGTAATCCACCCATTTACATCCAATGGACTTTGACAAAGGTTCGAAGAATCTACAATCTGGAAAGGACAGTCATTTCAATAAATGGTGCAGGGAAAACTGGATATCTACATGCAGAGGGATGAAACTGCACCTCTACCTCTCACCATACACAAAAATCAGATGAAAATGGATTAATGACTTAAGACCTGAATCCATTAAATGTCTAAAAGGAAACACTGGAGAAATGCTCCAGGACATTTGTCTGAGGGAAGACATTTTGTTTAAAACCTCAAAAACACAAGTAATCACAACAACAACAAAAAAATAGACCATTGGGATTATATCAAATCAAGCAGCTTCTGCACCGCAAAGGAAGCAACCAATGAAGTGAAGAAGAGACAACCCACAGAATGGGAGCAAATATTTGCAAACTATGCATCTGAGATGGGATTAATAACTAGAATATAAAAGAAGCTCAAACACCTCAATAAAACTAATAATTTAATTATAAAATTAGTAAAAGACCTGAACAGACATTTCTCAATGAACAAAACATACAAATGAACATATATACATTGCATATATGAAAAAGTGCTCAGTATCACTAATCATCAGAGAAATGCAAATGAAGTCACAATGAGCTATCATCTCACCCCATTACAATGGGTTTTATCTCAGAGACAGACAAAACAAATGTTGGCAAGGTGGTGGAGAAAGGAGAACCCTGATACACTGTTGATAGGAATGTAAATTAATACAGCCATTACAGAGGAGAAGAATATGGAAGTTCCTTAAAAACTAAAAAGAGATTAGGCACTGTGGCTCACGCTTGTAATCCCAGCACCTTGGGAGGCTGAAGTGGGCAGATCACTGGAGGTCAAGAGTTCGAGACCAGCCTGGCTAACATGGTGAAACCCCGTCTCTACTAAAAATACAAAAATCAGCCAGGCGTGGTGGCGGGCACCAGTAATCCCAACTACTCGGGAGGCTGAGGCTGGAGAATCACTTGAATCCTGGAGGTAGAGGTTGCAGTGAGCCCAGGTGGTGCCATTGCACTCCAGCTTGGGCAACAAGAGTGAAACGCTATGTCAAAAAAACAAAAAGCATAAAACAAAACCTAAAAAGAGAACATCCAGAGGATCTAGCAATTCCACTAGTGGGTGTAAATGCAAAGAAAAGGACTTCAGTGTATTGAAGTGACATCTGCACTCCCATGACTGTTCCAGCACTGTTCACAGTAGCCAAGATGTGGAGTCAACCTACCTGCCCATCAGTGGATGAATGGATAGAGAGAATGTAGTACATACACACAATGGAGACAACTCATCCATACAAAGAGAAACGTCCTGTCATTTGCAGCCACATGGATGGACTGGAGGTCATTACAAGGATTGCCATTTCTTACTCACATGCAGGATGTAAAAGGTGGACCTCATGAAGGTAGAGAGTAGAATGGTGGATACCAGAGGTTAGGAAGGAAGGGGTGGAGGGTAACAAAAGAAGAATATAAAAGTATTTATTTATTTATTTAGAGACAGAGTCTCTCTGTGTCACCAGGCTGCAGTGCAGTGGCATGATCTCAGCTCACTGCAACCTCCTCCTCCTGGGTTTAAGCCACTCTCCCGCCTCAGCCTCCCAAGTTGCTGGGATTATAGGCGCCTGGCACCATGCCTGGCTAATTTTATTTTTTTTGTCTTTTTAGTAAAGATTGGTTCCCCCATGTTGGCCGGGCTGGTCTCCAGCCCCTGATTTTAAATGATCCACCTGCCTTGGCGTCTCAAAATGCTGAGATTACAGGCGTGAGCCACCGCACACAGCATATAAAGGTATTTATGATCCCTAGATTTTACACTTAAAAATGGTAAAGTTGATAAATTATATAGGTATATTTAACCTCAATCAGCATTTTTTCAAAGGAAAAGAAAAAGTGTAGGGGTTGCTGGTGATGACATCTCTGTGTAGGTGAGAGGCCAGGGTGGGCTTCTGGGAAATGGGTAAGGTTGAGGGGCTGAGGGAACCTCTGATCTCCCCAAACTGAGCCCAGTCTCCCTCCTCTGGGTCTGTCCTGACCACTTTCTCCATCTGCCTGGGTACCCGGAGCCCTTACTGCAAGCTTCCATGCAGGCCATGCAGGAGGGTTTGGAGGTGCCCTGTCTGCCATCCTGTGCCCTGATCCCACCCTCACACCATGCTGCATCTTCTCTCCACATCTGTCCATGCTTCTCTCCATCATCAGCAGGAAGCTCCTCAGCTAAGGCTCTAGGACCATAGGACATGGGACAGACATTGGCTTTCCTCACCTGTGACAGAAACAGGCAGTGGGTCACTCGGGTCTGACCACTCGTAGGGAGATCCATGGAAAGAGCCGAAGCATCTGTAGGTCTCTCCGTGGGTGGCAGGACCCAGAGGGAAGTCGGCCTGGAATGTTCCATTGATGCTGGGCACTGCAGGGAGCCTAAGTTCATGGGCTTCCCCCTCCCTGGATAGATGGTAGATGTCAAAGGAGCTCTGGGAGCTGCAGGACAAGGTCACGTTCTCTCCTGCGCGAACCGTGGGGCCCGGCCGGGCTGTAAGCGAAGGTTTCTCATATAGACCTGGAAGGAGAAGAGGCAGTTTCCTCAGGGAGGTTCTTCCTTGTCACAGCTCCCCTCCCACCTGAGCTGAGAACTCACTGCCCTGCTCTATGGCCTAGTGCTCTCTCTCTCTCTCTCTCTCTCACCCTCCACCCCCAACTCTTCCTGTCGATCCCTCCCTATGTGGTTCCAGCCTGGTGGTGGCATCAGCAGTGCACCCTTGCTGATCTCAGGGTAGCCAACCTTCTTGTTTGGTTTTTTAACTTGTCCTTCACCTGGGTTCCTGTGTTGGTTTCCTGATGTTGCTGGAGAAAATTATCACAAACATGGCGGCAGGAGAGAACACACTGACCCCTTCCACTTCTGGAGACAGAAATCAGACCCTGTTCTTCCTGGGCTACAATCAAGGCATCTGCAGGGCTGCATTCCCTCTGGAGACTCGGGAGAATCAGTTCCATTGATTTCTCCAGCCCCTTCGTGGCTCGTGGTCTTCCTCCACCTTCAAAGCCCACAGTGGCTGGTGGAGTATCCCACGATGCTGCTCTAATCCCCATTCTCCTCTTCCTTCTCCACTCATATGGACCCTTGTGATTACACTGAGCCCAGTGGGAGGGTCCAGGCCATCTCCCCATCTCAAGGTCAACTCATCAACAACCTGAGCTCCATCTTCCCCTTCAGTCCCCTGCCCTATAACATAGTCACAGGCTCCAAGGATTACAATGTGGCCATCGATGGGGACAGTTATTCTTTCCAACACAGCACCCATTCCCCTGTATTCAATCCCCCTTTACCCCAAATATAGTTGGGGCCTGGATGATCGGACTCTGGTGGACACCCCCACCAGAAGCTCTGGGACTCAGGAGGTGGGACAAGGAGAAGCCCAGACAGGAGCCCTCTGACCTGTGACCATGATCACCAGGGGGTTGCTGGGTGCCGACCACTCAGTGGGGGAGTGCGGGTGAAAACCTCGACATCTGTAGGTCCCTGCGTGTGCTGGGGTCACAGGGCTAATGAGGAAACTGTTCCAGAATATTCTGTTGTAGAGCTCAGGGACAGGGACCCCATCTTTCTTGTACAGCGTGAAGATGTTAAACCCACGACGACAGTGACACCGAAGAGTCACGTGTCCTCCTTGAGGCACCACAGCGCTGGGCCAGGCAGAGCAGAAGGGCTTGTCCTGACCACCTTGGGGAGAAGGAGATGCCGCCTCAGAGAGGAGTATGTTGAGCTGCCCCTCCCTCCCTGTGCTCAGAAGATTCTCCCCATTTCTTCTTTCTAAGGCTCCTACCACACCTGGGTGCCTGGGGCTACAGGAAGGACCCATCCCGCATAGACGTGGCGTCTCCCTACAACAAAAGTGTCAGTTGAGAACTGAGCAGGTGCTGAGTAAGGGACTCTTACTAGATTTTAATACTGCAAGATTAGTTACACCAAACAACACAAAGTAGACATGGGGTGGAGGGTATGACCTTTGTGAATGGAATATTAGCTAATGCCTGAACCACAATAAACAACTGAGCTCCATCAGAGGATTTGGAATGGCAGGGTCGTGGCTGTGGTTCCCCCACCTCTTCTGGCAGAATGACAGCAGCCACACTGCAGCCCCTACCGTCATGGAAACGCTGGAGGGTGTGAGTTACCCTCTTGTCCTCAGAGGACCTGCTGTTCCTAACACTGCTACCCTTCCCTCCTCTGTCGGTGACACCACATCCCCCCACACACCCCAGCTTTGAGCACCTCAGTATCCCGCCTGGGCCACACAGAGCTCAACTCAGCCATGGGGAAGAAAGGCTGGGGAGGGCTAAGACAAAACAGAAGGCTGAGCATACCAGGATCTCCTCTTACTAGTTCATGAGAGACTCCCAGGATCTCCTCTTACTAGTTCATGAGAGACTCCCAGGATCTCCTCTTACTAGTTCATGAGAGACTCCCCCCAGGCCTTCCCATGGTCAGCCCATCAGCCCACCCTCTGTGCTGCCTCCCTCCCATTTCCGGAAAATTCACTTGTATTGGGGTGAAGATGGCAACCCATCATTTGGGGAAGGACTCACCCACGTGTGCCCACACACTCTGGTCCAAGAAGAACCCTGCAAAGAAAGATCATGAGGAACTATTCATCTCGGCAGCAACCTACCCTTTCCTCCTGAGCCACTGGGCGCCACGCTGGACTGAAAATTAACTCATCCTCACCACTCACTTGCTTCAGAACATGGCTCTCTGCTGGGGAGACACCCAATCTGCAGGCCCATAGTGTAACCCTGGTGCTCCTTCCCTTCCAGGACTCACCAAGACATGCCAGGATGATGACCGTGGGTGACATGGACATGGTGCAGCTTCTGCTGCCAGGACGCAGTGACTCGGCTCGACTGACCGGTGCAGAGGATGTGGTGAGGGGCCCGGATCGTGCAGTTGACACATTGACCACAACATGTGAAGGGGACATAGGTAGGCTTCTTCTACGTCATATGAGGTTCAAGTGGTGAATCAGTCAAGGGAGGAATGAGGGTTTCTGAAAACTGCAGACTAGACTTGTCACTTCACATCATGCGCAACGGCCAGGCTCAAAACACATCTCAGACTCACTTACCCCTGCACGGGACGATTGAATTCTGCACTCACATGAGGAACTTTTGATGTATTTTTTTTTGTTTCTACCTGAGATTCAAACTCTCCTTGATATGTAATATGCAAAATACCTAATAGGTTTTATTAACACTATAGAGCAATCGTATTAAATAAATCATCATAATTTTCCATGGTTGTATTTTTCCTGTTAAGCCAGAAACAGATAAAATGATTTAAATCCCAGTAGAAAAGACTATATAGTTATTTCGCATCATAGAATTCCACCTTATTAGCAAAAACACAATATGTCAATTGAAGGTCTGGTCGTGTTATCTAGAATTTGTCTTATGACACAAGAGTCCAAATTCACAGTTCCCTGTCTCCCTTTTTGTCTCTCTGTAACGTGTGCTTTTTTTCTCCCTGTGTTGTTTGTGTGTCTTTCTTTCTCTCTCTCATTTGAGGAAAAAATATCAGACTGATAACATCCTCCAACTTGATACTGGAATATTGCAATAACTGAAGGTTGAAATCTACACATTTAATGTGCTGTCATTCTTACAAATGTCTCTTATTTACACCTACCTTTCTGGAGTTTGTAAGAACTTTTTCACTATGCATTTTAAATTTGTAAAACTCATAATTTTTAAAAAGGGATGGGTCTCACTGTTTGCCCAGGGTGGCCTTTACTCATTCTATAAGGCTGGCATCACCCTGATACTAAAGACAGAAAAGAACATTAAACAAAAGAAAACTACATGCCAATATTCCTGATGAACATAGAGGCAAAAATCCACAAAAAATACTAAGAACTGAATCCCGCAGCATATCAAAAAGTGAATCCACCATGATCAAGTCAACTTTATTCTTAGGGTGCAAGGTTGGTTGAACATACACAATCAATACATGTGATTCATCACCTAAACAAAACTAAAAACAAAAACCACATGATCTTCTCAACACACATGTAGAACATACTTTTTACTAAGCATTTCTTCATGTTAAAAGCCCTCAACAAGCTAAGCATTGAAGAAACATAACTCAATATAATAAGAGCCGCCTGTGACAAACCCACAACCAACATCATACTGAATGAGTAAAAGCTGGAAGAAGTTCCCTTCATAAGTGAAACAAGACAAGAATGCCCACTCTCACCATCCTATTCAACATAGTACTTGAAGTCCTAGACAGAGCCATCAGGAAAGAGAAAGAATTATAAGGCATCCAAGTAAGAAGAGAGTAGCAGAGAGAGGTAGTCAAATTACCTCTGTTTGAAGATGAGATAATTTCTATACCTAGAAACCCCATAGTCTCTGCCCAAAGGCTCCTACATCTGAGAAACAAACTTCAGCACAGTTTAAGGGCAGAAAGTCAATGTACAGGCTGGGTGTGGTGTCTCAGCCTGAAATCTAGCACTTTGGGAGGGCGAAGCGGGTGGATCACCTGAGGTCTGGAGTTCGAGACCAGCCTGGCCAACATGGCGAAACCCTGTCTCTACTAGAAACACAAATATAGCCGGACGGGGTGGTACGCAACTGTAGTCCCAGCTGCTTGGGAGGCTGAGTCAGGAGAACCGCTTGAACCTGGGAGGCAGAGGTTGCAGTGAGCGGAGATCACGCCATTGCACCTCAGCTTGGGCAACAACAGTGAAACTGCATCTCAAAAAAAAAACCAAAACAAATTTAATTAATGAGGAAAAGGGTATTTGTGGTGTCCATCATGATGTTTTCATATAGGTACACATTGTGGAATGGATGAAACAACCTCTTTATCATATTTATTTTTTCACATACTTGTATGTTTTGTGTGTGTGGTGAGAACATGTAAAATCTAATCTCTTAGTAATGTTCAATACACCATATGTTGCTATTAACTGGAGTCACCAAGACATACAATAGATCTCTTGAACCGATTTCTTCTAACTGAAATTTTGCATCCTTTGACCAACATCTCTTCAATCTCTCTCCATCCCAGGTTCTTTCGACGACCATTTTACTGTTCCTCTAGGTTCCACTTCTTACACTCCACACATGAGATCATGTGGCATTTGTCTTTCTGTGCCTGGATTGTTTCCCTTAACATAATGTCCTCTAAGTTTTTTCACATTGTCACAAATGAGAGGACTTCCTTCTTTGTTGTAAAGGTTGTATAGTACTTCATTACGTTCCTATCGTATACCACGTTTTCTTTGTCCATGCACCCATAGATGGGCAGTAAGGGTGATTCCACATCTTGGCTGTTATGAATAATGCGGCTGTAAACATGGGAATGCAGATATCTCTTCAACATACTGATTCCACTTCCTTTGGATACATGCGCAGTAGTTGGATTGCAGACACATATGGGAATTCTATGTTTAATTTTTTCAGGAACTTCCAGACTGTTTTCCATAATGGTTGTGCTAATTTACATTCCCATCAACTGCATACAAATGTTCCCTTTTCTCCACATCCTCGTTAACCCTTGTTATTTTTTATGTTTTTGATAATGGTCTTTTTTTTTTTTTTTTTTTGAGACTCAGTCTTGCTCTGTCACCCAGGCTGGAGTGCAGTGGCACAATCTCGGTGTACTGCAACCTCTGCCTCCTGGGTTCAAGCGATTCCCCTGCCTCAGTCTCCAGAGTAGCTGGGACTACAAGTGTGCGCCACCAAACTCTGCTAATTTTTGTATTTTTAGTAGGGATGGGGTTTCACCATATTGGCCAGGCTGGTTTCGAACTGCTGACCTCAGGTAATCTCCCTGCCTCGGCCTCCCAAAGTGCCTGAATTACAGGCATGAGCCACCATGCCCAGACTGTTAATGGTCATTCTAAGAGGTGTGAGGTGATATCTCATTCTAGTTTTAATTTTTATTTAGCTGATGTTTAGTAATGCTAATCATTTTTTCATATACCTTTTGGTGATTTGTCTTATTCTTAGAAATGTTTATTCAGATACTTTGCCCATTTTTTTAAGTTGGGTTATTTGATTTCTTACCATTGAGTTGTTTGAGTTTCTTATATATTTTGGATATTAATTCCTTATTAGATGTATGGGTGCAAATATATTCTCCCATTCCATAGGTTGTCTTTCCACTTGTTGAGTTTTTTTTTTCTTTGCAGAAACTTTCAATTTGATATAATGTTATTTGTCTACTTTTGCTTTTGTTGCCTGGGCCTTTGGGTTAATATCCAAAATGGTTTTGCCCAAGCCAGTGGAGTTTTCCCTTGATTTCTTTTAGTAGTTTTTTTTTTTTTTTTAAGATGGAGTCTCACTGTGTTGCCCCGGCTGGAGTGCAGTGGTGCGATCTCGGCTCACTGCAACCTCTACCTCCTGGGTTCAAGTGATTCTCCTGTCTCAACCTCCCGAGTAGCTGAGATTACAGGCACCCACAACCACACCCAGCTGTTTTTGTATTTTTAGTAGAGGCGGGATTTCACCATGTTGGCCATGCTGGTCTTGGAATCCTGACCTTAGGTGATCTGCCCACCTTGGCCTCCCAAATTGCTGGGATTATAGTCTTTCATCTTACATTTAAGTCATTAATCTATCTTGAGTTGACTTTGTATGTTTTGTGAGGCAAATGTCCACTTCCATTCTTCTGCATGTGGACATGCAGTCTCCCAATCCCATTTATTAAAGAGACTGTTCCTTCTCCATTGTGTGTTCTTGACACATCCCAAAAATTGTTTGACCCTAAATGCATGCATTTTTTTCCTGGGCTATGAATCACTTCCATTGGTCTATGTGTCTGTTTTTATGCAAGTACTGTGTTGTTTTAATTACTGTAATTTTGTAATGTAGTTTGTGTTTAGGTAATGTGATGCTTCCAACTTTGTTCCTTTCCCTCTAGATGGCTTTGGTTATTTGAGATCTTTTGTGGTTCCACATGAATTTTAGGACTGTTTTTTCTATTTCTGTAAAAAAAATGTCATTGGATTTTTGATAATGGTTGCATTGAATCACTTTGGATAGAATGGACATTTTAACAACATTAATCCTTCTGATCCGTGAACATGGAATATCTTTCGATTTATTTGTTTATTTCTTGAGTTTTTTCATCAATGTTTTATAGCTTTTGCATACAGATCTTTCTACTCCTTGGGTGAATTTATTCCTGCATGTTTTGTTTTCTGTAGTTATTGCAAATGGGCTTATTTTCTTGTAAACTTTTTTGGATAGTTTGTTGTTAATGTATAGAAACTTTGTTGTTGTTGTTGTTGTTGTTTTGATGATACCCATCCTAAGGGGTATGAAATGGCATCTGGTGTAGTTTTAGTTAGTATTTCCCTAATGATTCGTGATGCTGAATATCTTTTCATGCGTATGTTCTTTGGAGAAATGTCTGTTTCAGTACTTTGCCCATTTTTGAATTGAGTTTATTGTGATTGAGTTTTAGGAGTTGTCTGTATATTCTGGATGTTAATCCCTTACAGGTGGTGTGGTTTGAAAACATTTTCTCCCATTCTGTGGGTTGTCTTTTTACTTTGATAATATCGTCTTAAAAGTTCTTTTTCCTTGCCATGTGAAGTAACTGATGTTGTCTTTTGAGTCACAATATTTCAAAATTTTCATAAAGTCTAACTTGTTTATTTTTTCTGTAGTAGCCTGTGCCGTTGTTGTCACATCTAAAGAATCACTGCCAAATCCGATGTTGTGAAGTTTTCCTTTGTGTTTTCTTCTAAGACTTTAATTAAATTTTATTTGTCAATATTTAGGACTGACAAAAGCTTTTTAACATTCCTGGCACCATCTCAGTTATTGATCTACTCCCAAGATGGATCATTTCAATTAAAACATGTAAAGCATGACCTCACCTGAATGTGTTTGAACTTGCTCTTCTCCCTTTCAAATCGACTCCCTCACTTACATAGTTTGTGTTCAAATGTCAACAAATAAAACATAAAAAGAAATCAATCTTTTCATAGACCCTTTATCTAAAATAGAATAGTAGGTGCCATGACATTTCATCCTTTCATCTTGAATTATTTACTTTTCTACATGAACCAATCCATTCTTCTGTGTGCATGTGTGTGTGTGTGTGTGTGTGTAGTTTATCTGTCTACATATAATGTAAACACCAAAAAATAACAGACATTTAGTAATTTTCAAATGAGACTTCAGGAATTAACAATGGCTTGCCATTTTTAGTGTGTTATTATTATTATATTTAGATGAACAGAATTGCCTCAGGAACATGGCCAGGGGCTCATAGTCCAGGAGAACTGTGGCCTGACTCAGGTACATTTTACCTGCAATAACAGCAATTGCAGGTCACTGGAGTCCATCACAATTGGCTGGAGACAAATGTAAGACAAGAATATTTGCAGTTTCCCCAGACTGACACAGTTGCAGGTTCCCCGAAGTAATGAGTCCTGAGACACCTCCAACAAGAGCTAGAAAAGGTATCACTTCAAGAGGAGTTGCAGCCTACTCATTTTAGACAAATGGAGCAAAATTACAGTATCACATCTTTTCCTTTCTCCTTCATAGAATCTGGATGAACAGAACAGAAAGAGTTAATGGAATATAAGATTCCAATTCTCTGGCATGAGAAAATAGACAAGGAAAGGAAGATTCATCTTCATCACATCTCAGACATGCTTGGACACAGGGTCCAAGCACAAAAGAGAAACACATACTTCTTCCCATCCACACTGGGATCCAGGGTCTTCTCCCTCCTGTCAGGCCAGAACTGAGTCTCCACTCCCCAATTTAGTTCCCAGAGATGAAGCCCAATTTTCCTCTGTCTCAAGCTTTGAAGGCCAGCTTTAGCGTGTTCACCATGGATGAATGAAGGTGAGGTCAGAGGTTTGGGAAATGGTCAAGAATGAGGTGAGAAGAGAGCTGTGGAGGCATGGCCCCGGGGAGCTTGGTACCCCCCCATATCCAGAGCCTGTCTGGTCCAGGAGAGTTCCCAACCCTGTGAGCACCAACTCCGGATATTCTGGGCAGTGACCCGAGGGACAGCCTCTTATGAATACAGGCTGTTTTCCTCCAGTGTCTGCTGTGAAACCAGGATGTACAACATGGCCGTGTTCAACCCAACAATGGACTTAGGATTTTGCTGTACGCCAAAACTCAGTGTCCAACTTCCACTCTGTTTAGCTGGAAAAAGAAGGGGTTTGTTCCCATACATCTCACTCCTGTGTTCCTCTTTCAGTCTCAAAGCTCAGATGAAAACAATGAGTGTCACTTATTGTCAATCCTCTTCCCTGCCTTTTCCACACTCATCAGTATTACCGTTTACATTGAGACTAAAGATGGCCAATCACCACTTTTCTTCGGAAAAATCAACCTGATGTTGTACCTACTTTTTTAGAGGTGGAATCAACCTACCCTAAGATGCCAACTACATTTTACTGAATGGACTTTTGTGGATCCCCTCGATGTATATAGTGGCACCTTGAGGTATCATCCCTGTCTTTAGCAAATGAATATTATCCCAAGGACAATATTTCATCACAATTATTCGGGATGGACGAGTGGATATTGTGGTAGCAAGAACATTACTAAAAGTCACAGCTGATACAACACACTTGAAACCCATCTGGCCAATCTCCCACAGACAGAATGTCGCGCCATTCACTCCAGCCAGCTTCAGTCATGTTTCTTCCATTTCCACCTGTGGCCCCTCATGTCTCCACCAGGTCTTAGCCAGCATTGCCAAAAGAGCCAGGAAGACCAGACCAGCCACAACAATCCTGATGGAACTCTCCACAGTATAGTTCTGGAGAACAGGGGCTGGAGGGTGGGGGTAAGATCAGAGACCTTTCCATGTGGGCCAGGCCCCTCTCTCCCCAGAAGCTCTGAAATGGAGCTATTTCCCCATCTCACCTTCATAAAATTCTTCCTGTCCAGAACCCCTCTTCTCCCTATATCATCATGAGCACCTTCAGAAGTCTTTTGCCACAAAAAGAAATTTCTTTTGAAGATATACATTTTTTTGTACATTTCAAAAATGTTCCCAAACTAATTCTCCAAAGCAATAAATGTTTGTGTGTATTGCTGGGTAGGTTATGCATACAAGGAAAGGAAGCATAGTGAGTCTGATTTGGCAGAGGAAACATATGTGGAAATTATATCATTTACTCTCTTTACAAAATTAAGTACAAAATTGAAAACACTGGTAAGAAAGAATGAGCTATAGAGAAAGAAAACATCTGAGATGCTTGTTTCCAAGATGGCTGACTAAATGCTTTTCTGGCATGTCTCATCCACTTAGAAGAACGAGCAGAATCCAGAACAAAAACCATATGATCATCTCAATAGACATAAAGAAAAGCATCTGAAAAGAAATTCAACATCCTTACCTGATGAAAACCCTCAAAAACTTAGGCATAGAAAGAACATACCTCAAAATAATAAAAGCCATAGATGACATATCTAGAGTCAACATCATACTGAACAGGAAAAGTTAAAAGCACTCCTCTGAGAACTGGCACAAGACAAGGACACGGACATCCACCACTTCCTATCAACATAGTACTGGAAGCCTTGTCAGAGCTATTGGGCAACAGGAAGAAGTAAAAATCCAAATTAGAAAAGAGGAAGTAAAATTATTTTTATTTCTGATGCTATGATCTTAAATCTAGAAAATCCTAAAGACCCTGCCAAAAATTCTTATGATTGATAAATGAACTAAGTAAAGTTTCAGAATACAAAATCAATATGTAAAAGCCGGTAGCATTTCTCTACACCTATAATGATCTAGCTGAGAACCAAATCAAGAAGGCAATGCCGTTTACAATAGATACGCAAAATTAAAACACTCAGGAATACATTTAACCAAGGTGGTGAAAGATCTGTACCAGGAAAGGTGTAAGACACCAATGAAAGCAATTATAGATAATACAAAAAAAAAAAAGAAAAAAAATCCCACGCTCATGGATCATAAGAATTAATATTGTTAAAATGACCATACTGCCTAAAGCAATCTACAGATTCAGTGCAATTCTTATATGAAAATAGTAACACCAGTTTTCACAGAATTAGAAAAAGCAATCCTAAAATTCATACAGAACCAAAAAAGATCCTAATAGAGAAAGCAATTCTAGGTGAATGTAGAAACCTGGAGGCATCACGCTATCTGACTTCAAACTATGCTCTAAGGCTATAGTAACTTAAATAGCACAGTGCTGGTATAGACACAGAAACAGAGATCAATAGACCAGAATAGAGAGCCCAGAAATACAGCCTCATATCTACAGTGAATAATCATTGACGACGTTAACAAAACATACCCTGGAGAAAGATTTCCTTTTCAATAAAAGGTGCTGGGAAAACTAAATAGCCATATGCAGAAGAATAAAACTGGACCTGTATCTGTAATCATACACATAAATTAACTTAAGGTAATTAGCAGCTTAAATGTAAATCCAGAACTATAAAATCACCGGTGGAAACCCAAAGAGAAACTCTTCTGGGCATTGGTCTGGGCAAAGAATTCATCACTAAGACCTCAAAAGCACAGGCAATAAAAATAAAACTAGACCAATGGGACTTAATAAACGAAAGAGCTTCTGCCAAGCAAAGGAAATAGTAGCAGGGTGAACAGACAACCCACAGAATGAATGGAAATGTTTGCAAACTATGCACCCAACAGGGGACTAACATCCAGAATTTCTAGGCAACTCAAACAACTAAACATAACCCCTCAAATAATAGCATTAAAAAGTGGGCAAAGGGATATACATAGACATTTTTCAAAAGAAGACATACGAATGGCCAAACAGCGTATGAACATCACTAATCATCAGAGAAATGCAAATTGAAACCACAATGAGATATCATCTTACAGTAGTCAGAATGGCTATTACTAAAAATGCTGGTGGGGAGTGGTGGCTCACGCTTGTAATCCCAGCACTTTGGGAAGCTGAGGCGGGTGGATCATGAGGTCAGGAGTTTGAGACCAGCCTGACCAACATAGTGAAACCCCATCTCTACTAAATATACAAAAGATTAGCTGGGCATGGTGGTGTGGTTCTGTAATCCCAGCTACTCAGGAGGTTGAGGCAGGAGAATCATTTGAACCTGGTTGGTGGAGGTTGCAGCGCGTGGAGATGGCGGCACTGCACTCCAGCCTGGGTGACAGTGGAAGACTCCATCTCAAAAAGAAAAAAAGAAAAAGTGAAACATATAACAGGTGTTGGCAAGGATGCAGAGAAAAGGAAACTCTTATACACTGTTGGCCGGTATGTAAATTAGTATAGCCTCTATGGAAGACAGTATGGAAATTTGGCAGAGAACCAAAAATAGAAGCACCATTCGATCTAGGGGTCCCGCTGCTGGGTATCTACTCAAAAAATATCTGCACCTGTATGTTTATTGCAGCACTGTTTGCAATAGCAAAGATATGAAATCAATCTAAGTGTCTGTGAATGAATGATTGGATTAAAAAAAGGATGCGTGTATACACAACGAAATACTATTTGGTCATAAAAATAAAACCATGTCTTTTGCAGCAACATAGATGGAGCTGGACGCCATTATTTTACATAAAACCACTCAGAAAGACAAATACCACATCTTCTCACTCTACATGGGAGGGGAGTAATGTGTACATATGGACGTAGAGTGTGGAATGACGGACAGCGGAGGCTAGAAGGCTGGAGGGTGGCGGGACGTGGGTGAGTGATGAGAATTTGCTTAATGAGTACAATGTACGGTATTTGGGTGATGGATATAGTAAAAGTCCTGACTTCACTACTCTGCAACATACTCATGTCACAAAATTACAAGTGTACCTCATAAATTTATACTAATAGAAAAGAAAGTCTGTACACAGTAATCAATTGTGATATGTAGATAAAGTCAATATTAAATTTAAACCAGAATAACTAGTTAAAATGTTGTGTACACAACAGTGAAGAGAGTATTTATCCTCTATGACAGAGGAAACCATCAATATTAATGCACAGAAAAAGCAAATAACTGAAACAAGAAAGAGCAGTTTTGTGACAGGGTAAAAATTGACAACAGTTTTAGAATGCTCCTAACTTGAGTTCCAAAAAGAAAGAACGAGAAAACAGGTCAGAAGCAATCTTTAAAGAGGCAATTGTTGATTATTTGGAGGAAGTAGACACATCCATCAATCCACAGGTTCAAGAAATCCAGTGAATGCCAGGCAGAATGAAGTAAACACACCTCACGTTCAACATTACAGAAAAGCAGCATAAAAGCACAACCAACCCTTAAAATTAGCCAGAGGAAAAGGATCAGCTGGTAAGGATTTATAGGGAGCCAAGCATTGTCTTCCCCACAGAAAAAAGGAAAACATAAGCCAGTAGAATAGCATCTTTACCCAGCTAAGATACCGTCGCCAGCCACCGACAATTCCTTACATAGTACAGTTACTGTCCAAGATCAACGCAGGAAAGAAACAGAACTGAAAGACAAAAGGGCAAAGAAAGCTTTTCTCACTGACCCTAAAGGAAATTCTGATGACCGTGCCTCAAAGATAAAGAAAGTGAAACCAGATGGGGTGTCGAAGATTCTGACAATAACTAAGAGCAGAGGAAGAACTAAAAATATGGCTATGCCAAAAATGAATATGGACCATACGATAGTGTATGAAAACATGCCCCTGTGTAATTTCTGAAAAAGATAGAATTATGTATACCACAAAACAAAACATCATATAAGTAAATACAAACATATGTACTAAATATGCTCTAAAATCCTGTTCTTACACAGGAAGAGTGGAAATATGTTTTTATATTTGCAGTTTAATCTCTGAAATGATTAATTTCAATTTTAAAAATATGTAACAACTTCAGGATGAGTACACCATATATGTATTCCTAAACGACATAGATCAAAAATAGAATGTTTGAAATAGAAAACCACAGAAGTCAGTGGGAAAAAAAGGGAATCAGGAAAACACAACGTAATAATAACAAAAATATGATTGGAAGAACTGCTCAAACATGAACAAAAGATTGTCAGAAAGTCTTACTTTCTAAGGCGAATTGTTTGAAATTTACAAAGGACACATCTCAATGTTAACAATTCATGGAGTTTGAAATTAAACAATGTAGAAATATACCAAGCAATCACTGTTAGAAATGTGGTATAACTATATTAAAATTAGACAAAATTAGTCTTTGGGAAAAATCAGCGGAAAACATTAAGCATAAAATGTAGGAAAAAAGCAGGTAAATTTATAGCATTTTAAATTTACCAGGAATATATAATCAGTTTACACTTAACCACTCCCAGTAATATTCCTGCAAATATACATGGAGGAAGAGTCGCGGAAATAAATGGACAGGTAGGCAAATCCACGGCCACAGTGGGGTGTTTAACACTCCTCTTTTCTCAGTTGTTGATAGAAGTGGTTCAGGCAATTAGAGAGGATTTAGAAAGATAATTGCTGGACCTGACCCAAGGTATAAGTCCACTCCCAACCACAGGACTCACTTTCCTTACAAGCACAAGGGCATTTAGAAATCTCTCTGGATTCTGACCAGCCCTCACCATATGGCAGGTCCATGGACTTCTTGGAACACACCAAGCTCATTCTCACATTAGGGTCATCCCCAATGTCCTAAGTCCATGAAAGTTCCTTTCAACACACTCCCCAGGGCTCACTCCCTCTTGTCTCTAAGATCGGAGTTTAAATGTGATCTCTCTGATGAGGTCTCAGTGAGACGTTCCCTCCTGTACACTCCAAATGACAACGTTCCACGTTCATTCATTTCATTCTGTGCATGGCACTTTCACCAAGTGCTAAGGATTCACTCACTAATTCATACATTCATTCATTCATTCATTCACTCATTCCATCATTCACTCATTCATTCATTCTCTCATTCATTCATTCATGTTCTGCCTCTCTCTCCCACCCCACAGCAATGTGAGCATCATGAACCCAGGAGCTTGGCCGTGCTGTCTACTCCTGGCCATGAAACAGAGAGAACTGATGGTAGGTGTGAAATAAATATTAGATGAATGAGTTAGTGAAGGGGTCATTTACTGGGTGAGCTCAGTTCTCTCTACTCTAATGCCCTCCCTCGGCTGACTTCCCTGAGTTGCCCCCTCGGCTGAGTGAAGTCCCTTCACTGGCAAATGGAACCTCAACCAGTAGCACCTAGGTGGTCTCATACTTTGTTCTTTCCCTCTCCTCTTGCTCCCTAAGGATTATCAATCTCCATGACAGGGCTGGAGAGCAGACAAGCCACACATTCTTTCTGGGGAGAGAGTAACATGGAGTACAAGGCATTCCACATTTAGGAAGAGAACTCAGTTATGGAAGGTCAGAAATGAAAAGTTCCTACAGACCAACACCCAGGTTGGTGGCCACAGCCCTAAATGCTGATGGAGAATCACTGCAAGTCTGTAGGGAAGATGTCTGGCTTGAGGCCACTGAGCGAAGTGGCAGATCCTTCTCAGCCTTCAGTGCTGAGCCTCTGTCCCCTCAGGGATCCACTGACCAATGAGAAGAGCCTCTTCTCATCTCCTGGGATGGAGCTTGGGGCCCCTGGCGAAGGAATGGGCCTGTTTCCACCTGTCATGTTGTCATCTAGCTTGGAAATCCTGCGAGTCCCAGGGAGGCCCTCCCCGAGTCCCCAGAGAAGACTCCCCCACTGAGTCTCCAAGGTGTGGAGAGAGCAAAAAACATCTAGGGTGGAAAATGCCTCCCATCAAGAGACATTGGGGCTCCCCCAACGATGGTTGCATCTGTGCCCCCCATGTGGAAATCACTCTTTGGTGAGAGGTGGGGGCTTCTGGAAATGGGCAATGGCGGGCGGCCAATGCTACCTCTAGTCTTTCCAATCTGAGCCCGGCCTTTCATGCTCCTGAGTCAGCATTGATGCTGTTTACATGTGTCCCAGGTGGGCTTCTGTACAAAGACTGGGAAGTGGTTTATGTGGCCTGTGCTCTATCTGCAAGCTTCAGGTAGGGTTGCAGTTACCACCCCAAACCCTAATGTGATCTGTCTGCCTCGCTCTGTCTGTCTGTCTATGCCTCTTTCTGTATGTTTGCTTTGTGTCTCTTCTGTCCAGCATCTCTGGCTGACACCCCCATGGCCACCCCCTCCATCTGAGGCTCCCCTGAATGTGGCCATTGTAGTCCATCTGAGTCCCACTATTTGGGGAACAGACTGGTTTCCTCACCTGTGACAGAAACAAGCAGTGGGTCACTAAGGTCTGACCACTCGTAGGGAGAGTCACGGAAAGAGCCGAAGCATCTGTAGGTCCCTCCGTGGGTGGCAGGGCCCAGAGGAAAGTTGGCCTGGAAGGTTCCATTGACCTTGGGCACTGCAGGGAACCTAAGTTCATGAGCCTCCCCCTCCCTTGATAGATGGTAGATGTCATAGGAGCTCCGGGAGCTGCAGGACAAGGTCACGCTCTCTCCTGCCTTAACCATGGGGCGCGGCTGGGCTGAGAGAGAAGGTTTCCCACATAGACCTGGAAGGAGAAGAGGCAGTTTCCTCAGGGAGGTTCTTCCTTGTCACAACTCCCCTCCCACCTGAGCTGAGAACTCACTCCCCTGCTCTATGGCCTAATGCTCTCTCTCTCTGTCTCACCCTCCACACCATCTCTCTTTATGTCTATTTCCTCTTTCCACCTTCTCTGTCTCTCTAGGTCTCTGACCTCACTTTCTCACCTCTAGATATGTTTTCCCTTTTTGGATTGTTTTATTCTCTCTGACTCTCCTTGGACTAGTTGACTTGATGTTACTTTTTTTAAATTCTGAGTTTCTCACTTTGTGTCCTGTTCATAACTTTCTGCATATTTCTATCTATTATCTATCGATATATCTATTTATCTATCTGGTGCCTATCTACAAATTCTCTACCTGTCATCTATATCTATATATAATCTATTTATCTATCAATTGTCTATCCAAAAATCATCTATTATCTATATCTATGTATCATCTCTCTCTCTCTATGATTTCTCTTTGTCTGCCTCTCTATCTCTATGTATTATCTATCTATCTTCATCTTCATCATCTCTATGTATCATCGATTAATCAATGAATGAATCGATCATCATCTATGTATCTATAACCTATTATCTATCATCTACCTATTTATCATCTATCTATATCTATCCATCTATCATCTGTCTTGCTCTGCCTCTCGGTCTCTCTAGTTCTCTTTGGAATCTCTGCAATTCATCCCCACATCTCCATCTTTCTATGTCCTTGTGCCTCTCCCTCAGGACTCTAATTTTAGTGCTTTTCTCTGTTCCCTTCCATTGTTCTCTCCACTTCTCTGCCCTCTTTTCTCCCTCTTTATGTGTCTGTGAGTCTCTCAATCTCCTTCCTCTGGCTCATTCTCTGTGTGTTTATGTCTTTGCTTTTTGGTGTCCCTGATTTCTCTCTGTGTCTCTCAGTGATCCTCTCATATGTGGGGTTATTTGGAATGTGAGCCTCAGAATCCAGTCTGGGGACCGCAAGTTCACACAGTATACAGGGGTTGATGTTCTGGGGCCATGATATCCTGGGACGATTACTCTCCATTGCATGGAAGGCAGAGGTGTCAGAATAAACACGGCATCTGTAGGTGCCAGAAGGCCTGAGGCCACAGGGCCCAACTCAGGCCAGAAATATGGGTGTCCTTGGGTTCTTCTGGTAGAGAACACTTTGTGGAAGTAAAACAGAAATGAAACTTCTAACCTGTGCCAGGTCTCTGAGCAAAGTCAGCATGGAAGGACACCTCTCTCTGGCACATGTCTGTCTGTGTCTCCTTTAACTCTTTCTGTCTTTTCTAACTCCCTGTATGGCCCCTGTGTCTGTCCTCTGTTATGACACCTGGTCTGTACTTGTGTCTCCTGTTTCTCTGTCTCTGTTGGTACAGACCTCACCAAATTAGTCTCTCTCCATAAGAATACCAAGCTCATCTTCCTTATAACCACCTGGGCCTCCAAGTCGTGGATCATTCACTCTGTGTCCCAGTGACAATGAGAATAATGTCCAGACACTCTCACCTGTAATCACGATGTCCAGAGGGTCACTGGGAGCTGACAACTGATAGGGGGAATGAGGAACAGAACCGTAGCATCTGTAGGTCCCTGCAAGGTCTTGCGTCATGCGACCGATGGAGAAGTTGGCCTTGGAGACCCCATCATGGAGCTCTCCAGTGAGGCGCAAAGTGTCATTAAACTTCCCCTCTCTGTGCAGAAGGAAGTGCTCAAACATGACATCTGACCAACATTGCAGGATGACTGTCTCTTCTGATTTCACCAGGGGACCTGGGTGGGCCAGGAGGGAAGGTTTTCTGTGGACTCCTAGGAAGAGAGGTTGTGACTTTAGAAGGCATCTCTCTTTATCATCCCATCCATGGCACCTAGAATGAGTGAGGCTTCCCCTCGCTGGTGTCTTATCTCTCTCCTTCCTCTCTGTGTCTTCATGTTCTTTTCTGTGCCCATAACTCCTGGTACAGGTCCTTCCATCTGTCTCCCTCCCTCTTCTCTGTCCCTCTGTCTCTAGTAGCTCCTGATTCCCTTGCCGCTGGGCTCAGCCTCATCTCTTGGGCTGTTGTATCTATTTCGAACTAATGTCTTTCCTGCTTCTATGTGGGGGTGGAAGAGGAACCAGGATAGGCTGCACGTCCAGGCTCTTAGCAGACTGGTTCAATCTCTTTTGGACGAATTGGAATCCTTGGCAGAAGGTATGAACTGATCAGTAAGGCAGGCACCAGTGTCCACACACCCTGTTCCTGGTGGGGACTGGGAGCCACTCTTGCCATGCCTGTGCCTTCTCCATGGTGCCAGCTTCCATAGGCTGGCTTCTGGTGCTGGTTTGAGGAGTATCAACCCCTCCCTATGTGGATGGAGCCTGGTGGTGGCATCATCATCCCACCCTTGCTGATCTCGGTGTAGCCAACCTTCTCTTTGTTTGGTTTCTTTAATTAATTAATTAATTTTGGAGTCAGAGTCTCACTCCTTCACCCAGGCTGGAGTGAAGTGGTGTGGTCTAGGCTCACTGCAACCTCTGTCTCCTGGGTTCAAGTGATTCTCCTGCCCTCAGCCTCCTGAGTTGCTAGGATTACATGCACCTGCCACCACGCCCGGCTATCCTTGTGTCCTTTCTTATCTTGTCCTTGACCTGGGTTCCAGTGTTGGTTTCCTGTTGGTGCTGTAGAAAATTATCAGAAGCATGGCAGCAGGAGAGAGCACACTGACCCCTTCCGTTTCTGGAGACAGAAATCGGACCCTGTTTTTTGAGGGCTAAAATCAAGGCATCTGCAGGGCTGCGTTCCCTCTGGAGACCCAGGAGAATCAGTTCCTTGACTTTTCCAGCCTCTATAGGCCACCTGCATTCATGGCTCATGGCCTTCCTCCACCTTCAAAGCTGATGGAGACTTCCATTGCACTGCTCTAATCGCCACTCCCCTCTTCCTTCTCCTCTCATGTGCACCCTTGTGATTACACTGAGCCCAGCAGGACAGTCCAGGCTGTCTCCCCATCTCAAGGTCAACTCAACAACCTGAGCTCCATCTTCCCCTTCAGTGCCTTCCCCTATAACATAAATAGTCACAGACTGCAGGGATTAGAATGCAGTCATCATTGGGGACAATTATTCTTTCCACCACAGCACCCATTTCCCTGTATTCAATCCCCTTTTACCCCAAATACAGTTAGGGTCTGGATGATGGGACGCTGGTGGACACTCCCACCAGAAGCTCTGGGACTCAGGAGGTGGGACAAGGAGAATCCCAGACAGGAGCCCTCTGACCTGTGACCATGATCACCAGGGGGTTGCTGGGTGCTGACCACCCAGTGAGGAAGTGTGGGTGTGAACCCCGACATCTGTAGGTCCCTGCATGTGCTGGGGTCACAGGGCCTATGAAAACGGTGTTTCGGAATACTCTGTTGTAGAGCTCAGGGACAGGCATCCCGTCTTCTTTGGACAGACTGAATTCGTTAAACCCAAGACGAGAGCGACACTGAAGAGCCACATGTTCTCCTTCAGACACCACAGGGCTGGGCCAGGCAGAGAGGAAGGGCTTGTCCTGACCACCTGGGGGAGAAGGAGGCGCCACCTTAGAGAGGAGGATGTGGAGCCGCCCCTCCCTCCACGTGTCAGAAGATTCTCCCATTTCCACTTTCTAAGGCTCCTACCACACCTGGGTGCCCAGGGCTACAGGAAGGACCCATCCCGCATAGACTTGGCGTCTCTCTACAACAAAAGTGTCAGCTGAGAACTTTGAGCAAGTGCTGAGTAAGGGACTCCTACTAGATTTTAATCCTGCAAGATTACTCACATAAAACAACACAAATAGACATGGGGTCGAGGGCATGTTCTTTGTGAATGGAATATCAGCCAATGTGTGAACCACAATACACAACTGAGCCCCCAACAGAGGATTTGGAAGGTCAGGGCCCTGGCTGGGGTTCCCCCACCTCTGAGGTAGAATGACAGCAGCCACACTGCAGCCCCTACCGTCATGGAAACGCTGGAGGGTGTGAGTTACACCTTTGTCCTCAGAGGCCTGCTGTTCCTAGCACTGCTTTGCTCCCTTCCTCTGCCAGTGACACCACATCCCAGCCGCACAGCCCAGCTTGGAGGACCCCAGTCTACCCTCCCGGGTTCCCACAGAACCTGACTCAGCCAAGGGAAAGGAAGGCTGGGGAGGGCAAGGTCGGAACTGTGGGCTGAGCACCCCAGGGTCTCCTCATCCTTGTTTATAAGAAAATCCCCCACCGGGCTTCCCTCCTGTTTCAGGAAAATCCTCTTATGTGGGGAGATGACACCCTAAGGTTTGGAGAAGGACTCACCCTCATGTGGCCAGGCCCCCTGCAGCAAGAAGAACCCTGGAAAGAAAGATCATGATGGACCATCCATCTGCAGGCAAACCAGGACTCCCTTGCTGCCCCCACTGGGCTGTGAGTCTTGGTAGCCAGGCCCTTGCTGGGCTGAAGGGAAACTCACCCTCAGTGCCAGCCTGCACCCAAGAACAGGGCTGTCGGCTGTGTAGAGACCCAGCCTGCAGGCCCATATCCGCACCCCAGGCCCCTATCCCCACCCCAAGCCCATATCTCCACTCCAGGCCCATATCTCCACTCCAGGCCCATATCTCCACTCCAGGCCAATATTTCCACCCTAGACCCATATCTCCAATCCAGGCCCATATCTCCACCCCAAGCCCATATCTCCACACCCAGGCCCATATCTCCATCCTAGGCCCATATGTCCACTCCAGGCCCAGATATCCACCTCTAGGCCCATGTCTCCACCTCCAGGCCCATATCTCCACCTCCAGGCCCATGTCTCCACTCCAGGCCCATATCTCCATCCCAGGCCAATATCTTCACTCCAGGCTCATATCTCCCCTCCAGGTTCCTATCTCCACTCCAGGCCCAGATCTCCACTCCAGGCCCATATCTCCACCTCCAGGCCCATATCTCCACTCCAGACCCAGATCTCCACTTCTAGGCCCATCACTCCATCTCCAGGCCCATATATCCACTCCAGGCCCAGATCTCCACTCCAGGCCCATAACTCCACCTCCAGGCCTATATCTCCACCTCTGGGCCCAGATCTCCATCCCCGCGCTCCCTCCCTCTATTCCTTTCCAGGACTCACCAACACACGCCATGCTGACGACCATGAGCGACATGGTGCTGCCGGTGCAGACAGGCAGCCGCGCCCCAGCTCAGCTCAGCAGCGCACAGGATGTTATTTGGCGCCCTGCCCATGCAGCTTACATGTTGACTACATCATGGGAGGGTGACGTACGCAGGCTCTTTCTACCTTGCATGAGGCCCAGTGGATGCTTGCTCAAGAGCGGAACACGGCTTCCTGGAAATTGTTCTCACTAGAATTGGCACCTCACGTCCTTCACTATGACCAACTCACAACACGTCTCAGATCCAACCTCCCGAACACAAGATGCCTAAAATCTGTGCTAACGTGAAAGACTTTTCATGTATTTTTATCCGAACACGAGATGCCTAAAATCTGTGCTAACATGAAAGACTTTTCATGTATTTTTTTTGTTTTTATCTGAGATTCAAACTCTTCTTCCTGTGTAATATGCAAAGTATCTAATAGGTATTATTAATGTTTTCGGAGTCATTGTGACTAATAAACCATTAGAATTTTTCATGCTTGTATTTCTAGTATTACAGCAGAACCAGCTAAAATGATTTAAATTCCCAGGGAAGGATTATGCAATTATTTACAATCTTAGAATTGTACTTTATCAGCAAAAACCACACCTGTAAATTCTGGAGTTTTGTAGTTTAATCTAAAATTTGTCTCATGACCCAAGATTCCAGAGTCCCAACTCTGGAGTTTGCTCTCTGTCTGTCTCTCTCCCTCCCTCGTTTTAAATTTTACAGAAATATCCAGTAACATAATGCTATAGAAAATCAAGTTTTCCCCAGCACGTTGGGAAGCCGAGGTGGGCGGATCAACTGAGATAAGGAGTTTGAGAGCAGCTTGGCCAATATAGTGAAACCGTGTCTCTGTTAAAAATCCAAAAATTAGCCGTGCCTGGTGGCAGGCACCTGTAACGCCAGCTGCTCAAGAGGCTGAGGCACGAGAATCGCTTGAACCTGGGAGGCGGAGGTTGCAGTGAGCTGAGATTGTGTCACTGCAGTCCAGCCTGGGCGACAGAGCAAGACTCCGCCTCAAGAAAAAAAAAGCAAACAGCCTATAATAACAAATTAGAGGGCTCTGGCTACTAAATTTAAAGGGTTCTATAAGGCTACATAAAGTGCAGCATCATCAAGAGTGTGGACACAGAGAGCCCCTTAGCAGAAACAGTGTCTAAAATACATCCATGTACACACAGTCCCTTTAGAGTTGACAAAGGCTGCCGTGTGGTTTAAGGTGGCATAGAATGTCTTCTCAATAAATAATATTAAACCAATTGGTTACACCTAGGAAAAAATAAATCTAACTCACACTATAAAAACACTTCTTAGTTTTTATCTAGTTGTACATTTTTTATGATTTATATTTAAATTTGAGAAATAAAAGTCATATACGGTCATCCTTCACTATTCGTGGGTGATTGGTTTTGAGATCTCCACTCAGATACCAAAATCTGTAGATGCTCAAGCCTCTTATATGAAATGGCACAGAGTTTGCAAATAACCTATGCACATCCTCCTGTATACATGAAATCATCTCTAGATTACTTATAATTCCTGATACAGCCTACACACAGCTTCATTTGTGTCCATTCAACATAGTTATGCTTTTTGAAACTCTGTGGATACTTTCTCTCAATATTTTTGATTTATACTTGGTTCAATAAACACCTGTAAACCCCGCAGATATGGAGGAGTGACCGTATATTTATATTATGAAAGATGATGTGTTGATATGTGTCCCCATGGAGATGAGACTAACAAGGCCTATGATTCTACAAATGTTTCATTGTGGAATGACTCTGCCAGCTTTCCAGGTCTGCAGAGAGTAAGAGTATCACTTGTTCATATGATTCGTGATCCTTGGAACCTCCTATGTGCTACATCTTTGGATGGAAATTGGAGTCTCAGAGACAAATGAGGCTCCACCCTGCTTCCAGAAACTCAGAGTCCGGGGATGAGAACTCAGTGGGGAACAGATGGGATTATATGGACATGGTACTGATAACACCGGAAGCCTTAGGCAAGAAAAGAGTCCCATTACCGAAACCATGGGGGCAGACATGTTTATTTGAAGGATGGAAAACTACATTGAAGTTATTTTAAAAAATATATAAGTTTTACTGCTGACAGAAGACTGAAAGCTAGTCTGAGGGGAGGTGGAACAGCATGAGGGAAGGTGGAACAACACGTGTCTAAGTGCTGCGTTAAGAGGGAGCCTCTTGTATGTTTGGAATTGTGAGTTCCTCAGTGTGATTGCAGCCTCAAGTAGACTAGGAAGTAAGCCAGTTAGGTTGGAGAGGTGGGCAGGGGTCAAGTGAAATGGAGAACTGTGGGCTAAGCAAAGGAGTGTGTTTTTTCTCCAGCAGGCAGTGGGGACCTTAGACATTTGTAAGCAAGTGAGAGGCACATTCAGATTTGTGGTGTGAGGAAGAGCGATGCCCTAAGATGCAGACTCATGCCTTCAGATTCCAGCTGCTGGTACATGGGAGCTGGCAACCCGGTTTTGAGACAGGGCTGTTGTCTCCCTAGAAGACGCCCTCAAGGCCTGACTGTGGTGCTCATGGGCAGGAGACAACTTTGGATCTGGACTCAGCATTTGGAAGTTCCGTGTACACGATGATATCTGTTGGGGGTGTCTTGGGCCTCTGAGAAGGGCGAGTGATTTTTCTCTGTGTGAAAACGCAGTGATTCAACTGTGTGTATGTCACCTCCTGAGGGTCTTGTTCATCAGAGTCCTGGAGAGAGGGAAATGCTGAGTGAGGGAGGGTGCTCACATTTTCCAGGACTCTTTGGGAATAACAGTAGCCACGAGCCCGGGCCGAGGAGTACCTACCTCGCTATTCGCTGTTCTGTTCCCTGCAGACTCTTGGTCCATTACCGCAGCATCTGTAGGAGACGGAAGTCAACAAAACAGCTCGGAGGGCACTTCTGGGTCCTCATTTCATAAGCAGATACCAACATACAGGGGGAGACCATAGGTGGCTGAGGTCCCTCAGTTGCCAACAGCAGACTCAGACATTCTATCTCTCTGAGCTCAAGGACCCATCCCATGAATAGCTCTGAGTTCCCATCCCATTGATTCTGTCTCCCACTTTCTGCCTGTCATGGAACCTTCTCCTGGATGTGAGTGGCTGCAGGGGACATGAGGATACAGTTCAGAATCAGGCAACGGTCTGTGAGTTGAAGGCAGGGGCAGGGAGTCTGGTGCCCTCTCTAGAAAGTCCTGCCTCTGTGGCTGCTGCCTTGGGCCAGGGACCATCCTGTTTGTGAGGAACACACACCTGAGTGCTCCCATCCTGCTTCCCCACATGGCCCTGAGCTCTCTGGCCTCTGCTTCGTGAGACTTACTTTTTTTGTTGGAGCACCAGCGATGAAGGAGAAAGAAGAGGAGGATGAAGAGGATGATGACCACTGAGGTCCCAATCAGAATGTGCAGGTGTCGGGGGTTACCTGGAAGAAGATGAGACACCAATAAGAAGCTAATCTTAGCAGTTCCTCTTTATGAATTGTCTCGCATTTCTTGATTGACAGGTAACCACATAAAACATCTCTTTAGGACAAGCACCCAGATGGCAGGAGACCCAGCTTTCTCCTGCTTTTTCAGTTATAGCTCTCATAGTAACCATAGAACGTGCTGAGGATACGACTACTTTAGTTGAGATGTTTGACCCCTTCAAACCTCACATTGAAATTTCACCCCCACTGTGGGAGGTTGGGCCTCTTGAGAGGTGTTTGGGTCATGGAGGTGGATCCATCATGAACACATCAATGCTGTCCCAAGGAGACGGGGTTAGCAAGTTCCCCCTCTATTAGTTCCCGGAGAGCTGGTTGTTAAAAAGAGCTTGGAAGCTCCATCACTCCCCCTCCCCCTTGCTCCCTCTCTTGCCGTGTGATCTCTGTGGTCTCTGCACAGACAGACCCTCCTTCCCTTCTGCCAGAGTGGGAGCAGCCTGAGGCCGTCACGAGAAATAGATGCTGGTGCCATGCTTCCAGTACAGCCTGCAGAACGGTGAGGCAAACCAATCTCTTTTCTTTAGAAGTTACCGAGGCTCAAGTGTTCCTTTAGAGCAACAAAAATGGCCTAAGACAGCAACTTCCTGAGATCAGGAGGAACGTCTCAGAACACCCTGGGCTGTCTTCCTGTTCTTCCTGGAGGACGTCATGCAGTGCTTTAGCTGAGTGCTTCCTGTGGCTCCAGGGTACAAAACCCAGGCTGGGCTGCTTTCTGGCTTCCCGCAGCTACACTGCAAATGGGGTGACTCCATATGTCCCGAGGAGCTTTTCTGAGCCTTGAGGGACTGGCTCACATTGAAATATAGGTTTCTGTTGTCACTCGCTGCTTATCTGTTAGTAATGAACCTGCCTATGTAACGTATTCTCTGTGTGTTCTGTCTCCCTGGAGTGACGGTGAGTGATAGGAATTGGCATAGGCCCAGGTGCAGTCCAGGAGGTGTTTAGAGTCTTCTCTGGGAAGACTGGACTGGGATTGATTCACAGCGAATGTGCCTTAGGGTTTCTACATCCACAGCATTCTTGAATCAAACAACTTGCATTCTCCAAGGAAAGAAAACAAAAGTGAAATCAAGATAAAAAAAGCGAAATAGAATTCTCTTATGTCAAACGGCCAGGAAATAGTGTTGAAGCCCGTGTGAAACCTGCTGCTCTTTGTGATCTCGGGAGACACATATTAGGCTGCTGTTCTACCCGAGAGGCTGGGGGAAGGACCACCCCCTCGGCCATCTATTGCTTCAATACCACCTGTCCTCCTGTGAATTAGTAGGAAAGGGGAGCAGGAGCTAGTGCTGTCGCTGATCTCTGATTCCAAGATCTGGACTCACTCCAAGGAGTGTTAATGTTTACCTCCCCATGGTCTACCTGAATCTCCACAGGTGATTGGAAGTAGGGGTGAGGTGGGGGATTTGGGTGAGTGGGCAAGTTTTTTTTGTGATGACCAGAGCACTTTCTCTATTCCAGGATCTGTGCTGGAGGATTCAGCGGACTTTCACATTTTCTATATGATCTCATGCTCACAGAAAGCCAAATAGGGAAGAGGTTTTAGGCTCATTGCCTAATGGATAAGATAAAGGATCAAAGAAGTAATTATAGAGAAATAGAAAAATCATGATTGGAATTCAGGTCCCTTTGTCATTTGCGTGTGTTATATTATATTTATATTTATGCATTTCTTATTTTTATTTTTTGAGACGGAGTCTCCTTGTGCCACCCAGGCTGGAGTGCAGTGATGCAACCTCCACTCACTGCAACCTCCACCTCCTGGGTTGAAGTCATTCTCCTGCTTCATCCTCCAGAGTAGGAGCTGGGATTACAGGGATGCACCACCATGCTCGGCTAATTTTTGTGTTTTTCCTAGAGACAGGGTTTCACCATGTTGGCCAGGCTGGTCTCGAACTGCTGACTTCATGTGATCCACCCGCCTTGGCCTCCTGCAGTGCTGGGTTACAGGCGTGAGCCACCGTTCACAGACTTGTATATTATGCTATAATAGGTCTCTTCATTTCCACCACCCCTCATATATCTGTCACTCCTTTGCCAGGTATTGATTTATGTGTAGGATGAATAAATCTCAGAAAGAAATTAATTAAGCGAGGATTAAACAAGTAGGAAAATCAAACCCAGCAAGCCTTTCCAGTCAATGATTCTACCTCACAAACCTATCTTATATCCATCTACTTCATTCATTTAGTGTCTAAATCAGCACCACATTTCACCAGTGGGGCGGCAATTGCCTTTTCCACGGTCTCCTAGATTCCAGTTATGCAACTGAGCCTCCCTTATTTTCATGTCAGTCATATTAATCATGTAGGGATTCCTGGCTACCCCGAGGTGAATCCAATGGCTGTGAGTGTCAAACACACACTCCTTGTTCCTCCTTAGTTTCCTGTGTACCCAGTGTGCTCTCCGTCTCTCCACAGTCATCTTGTCATTCTCCCCACATCATTCCCAGCATTTGAGGAAGAGCCTCTTCCTTCCACATCAGATTGTTTTCACCTTTGTGCCTTCACGGCTGACAGCTGTGTGTGCAAAATCCTTCCGCCAATCTTTCAGGGGTTCAATCCGTGTTTTTCATTAATGTCACAAATATCTGAATAGTGAGACCTTCTTTGTCACCTGAAATCATACACTCAGCATTATCTATTATTGATTTTGAATTCTGGCTGGGCACAGTGGCTCACGCCTGTAGTCCCATTACTTTGGCATGCTGAGACGGTCGGATCACTTGAGGTTGGGAGTTTCAGACAAGCTTGGCCAACGTGGTGAAACATCCTCTCTACAAAAAATATACAAAAAGAATTAGCCGGGCACGGTGGCAGTTGCCTGTAATCCCAGCTACTCGAGAGGCGGAGGCAGGAGAATCACTTGAATCCAGGAGAAGCAGGTTGCAGTGAGCCAAGATCGTGACACTGCACTGTAGCCTGGAAGACAGAGGGCAACTCTGTCTCAATAAACAAAAGAACAAACAAAAAATAGATTTCATGCACAGATGCTTCCCAATGGATCATTCATTTATAGATCCACTTGTGCATTCATTTTCTGCCCTCCCATTTAACCATCTGCAATATCAGTGTCCCAAGGGCAGAGGCCAAATGCATCTTGTTCACTGTTTGTGGAAGGCAGGAGAATGCTGTCCCACCCCAAAATGTCCCTGTCCTAGCCTCCATACCTTGTGAATATGTTATTTTACATGGAAAGGAGGAATGAAGATTGTAGATGGAATTACGGTTGCTAATCAGCTGAACTTAAAACAAGGGTATCCTGGATGATTTCCAGGAGATTATGAGGGATTTTCATCTTGGTGAACCCAATAGAATCCCCAAGTTTTCAAAAGATAAGGAAGAAGGGAGAGCAGCATTCAGAGAAAGAGGTGTGGTAAGGAAGAAGGCACTGAGTGATGCCATGTGAGATGTGACCAGTCTTTGTGGGTTTTGAGGAAGGAGGAAGGGGACCAGGAGCCAAGGAACTGGGAGCCTTTAGAAGCTGGGACAAGTGAGAAGCAGATTCTTGCCTGGAATCCTCAGAGGGAAGGCAGCCTTGCTGTCACCTTGATTTTAGCCCAGTAAGATGCACTTCCTACTTTGAGCTACAGCACTGTAAGATAATTAAAAAACCGTTTTGTTTTCACCCACGAATCTTGTGGAAATTTGTTATGGCAACAATAGGAAAAGGTTCCGCACTGCACAGCCTGAGCATGGGGCCGTGGCTGAATGAGTCAGTGAGTCGAAGTGTGCGTGCATGAGCTCCGTTCTCTGTTACGGCAAGGCTGTTGCTCTGCTGAGTCAGCCAGGGTTGCTTCATGACCAACAGTAATTCATTCCTTGGCAAGTGGAACTTCTCTAAAACACCTCGCCCTCATCAGATGTTCCCTTCCCTTCCCTCTCTCAAGCCCCCAGGAATTTATCCTCCAGTTAGGAATGCAGGCAGAACAAACATTGCATTTTTCCTGAGAAGGATGTCAGATTGGCAATCATTCTTCTAGCTTGTAGGAGGTCTCAGCTCCATAAAATGAGAGATTAAGAGATTTCACTGAGCCCTAGGTTGGGCCCAGATCCCTTTCGCTGTTGGAGTATCTGGAGTTCGGAGATGGTAGAAGACAGGCGTACAATGTCAGAGCTGCGAGATGCTGAGTCAATGCCTGCATCGAAGGTTTCTACCTCCCCAGGTTTCCAAAAGCGGATATAAGAGGGTTCTGTACTCACCGGTTTTAGAGCTTGGTTCAGTGGGTGAAGGCCAACTATTTGAAGGGTTTCCTAGAACATGAGACAGGAGAGAGGTGAGGAAATGAGGGTGTCTGTCCTCTACTCAATGGAAATCTTTGAGGTTGGTTCATGGCCAACACTCTGTTATCTAATATTGGGCCCTGGGAGTCCTGGGATCCTTTTTTCCATAATTTTTGTATGTGACGCCCATTGTCTTGAGACTTCAAGGTATAAAGAGAAAACAGGAGCATCACACTACCTGATCTCAAAATATGTTACAGAGCTGTAGTAAGCAAGACAGCATGATGTTGGCATGAAGAAAGGCACATAGAACAATGGAGCAGAATGAACAACACAAATATAATCCATGCATTTACATCCAATGTTTTTTTCTTTTTTCTTTTGAGATGGAGTCTCGCTCTGTCACCCAGGCTGGAGTGCAGAGGTGCAATCTCGGTTCACTGCCACCACAGCCTCCTGGGTTCAATCAATTCTCTGGCCTCAAACTCCTGAGTAGTGGTATTATAGGTGCTGACCACCATGCTCAGCTAATTTATATATTTTTAGTGGAGACAATGTTTCATCACGTCGGCCAGACTAATCTTGAACTCCTGGCCTCAGGTGATCCACCCGCCTTGGGCTCCCAAAGTGCTGAAATTGCAGGTGTCAGTCACCATGCCCAGCCCATCCAATGGACTTTGACAAAGGTGCCAAGAACTCACAATCAGGAAAGGACAGTCTTTTCAATAAACAGTGCAGGGAAACCTGGACATCTACATGCAGAGGAATGAAACTGCACCTCTACCTGTCACCATACACAAAAATCAAATGAAAATGGATTAAAGATGTGAGTCTAAGGCCTGAACCTATGAAACACGTAGAAGAAAATATTGGGGAAATGCTCCAGGACATTTGTCTGAAGGAAGACATTTTGTTTTAAACCTTCAAAACACAAGTAATCGAAGCAAAAATAGACCATTGGGATTACCTCAAGCTAAGCAACTTCTGCACCGCTAAAAATAAACCAACAAAGTGAAGAGACAACCCACAGATTGGGAGCAAATATGTGCAAACTATGCATCTGAGATGGGATTAATAACTAGAAATATAAGAAGCTCAAACAACTCAATAAAACAAATGATTTAATTGAAACAGGAGCAAAAGACATGAAATTTCCCCACATACGAAAAACTGCTCAGTATCACTCATCATCAGAGAAACGCAAATTAAAATCAAAGTGAGTTTTCATCTCACCCCATTAAAATGGCTTTTAGGCCGGGCGTGGTGGCTCACGTCTGTCATCCTAGATCTTTGAGAGCCTGAGGTGGGTGAATCTCATAAGGTCGGGAGTTTGAGACCAGTCTGACCCACATGGAGAAACACTGTCTCTACTAAAAATACAAAAATTAGTCGGGCGTGGTGGCGTGTGCCTGTAATTCCAGCTACTCGGGAGGCTGAGGCAGGAGAATCGCTTGAACCTGGGAGGTGGAGGTTGTGGTGAGCCGAGATCGCACCACTGCACTCCAGCCTGGGTGACAAGAGCGAAACTCCATCTCAAAATAAAATGAAATAAAGTAAAATGGCTTTTAGCTGCAAGACAGGCAAAGGAAATCCTGCCAAAGTGGTAGAGAAAGGAGAACCCTAATACCCTGTTGGTAGGAGTGTAAATTAGTACAGCCTTTACGGAGAAAAGTGTGGAAGTCCTTTAAAGAACTAAAAAGAGGTTGGGTGAGGTGGATCATGCCTGTAATCCCGGCACTTTGGGAGACCGAGGCGGACACCTCAGTTGAGGTCATGAGTTTGAGAGCAGCCCAGCCAACATGGGGAAACCCCATCTATACTAAAAAAACCAAAAAGTAGCCAGGCATGGTGGCGTGCACCTGTAATCCCAGCTACTAGGGAGGCTGAGGTAGGAAAATCATTTGAACCCAGGAGGCAGAGGTTGCAATGAGCCAAGATGACATCACTTGTACTCCAGCCTGGGCACAGAGGGAAACTGTCTCAAAAACAAAAACAAAACAACAAACGAATAACTAAAAAGAGAACTTTCATAGTATCCAGCAATTTCACTACTGGGTTTATATCCAAAGGAAAGTAAATCAATATATCGAAGTGATATCTGCACTCGTATGATTGGTGCAGCACTGTTCACAGTAGCCAAGATGTGGAGTCAACCTACCTGCCCATCAGTGGATGAATGGATAGAGAGAATGTAGTACATACGCACAGTGGAGACTACTCATCCATAGAAAGAATAACATCCTGATATTTGCAGCCACATGGATGGAACTGGAAGTCATTACAAAGATTCCCATTTCTCACCCATATACAGAGCTAAAAGGTGGATCTCATGAAGGTAGAGAGTAGAATGGTGGCTTCCAGAGGCCAGGAAGAAAAGGGTGGAGGGTAAAAAAAAAAAAAAATATATATATATATATATATATATATATATATATACACATATATATATGTATATATATGTGTGTGTATATATATATACATACATATATATATATATATATATTTATAAATGTATTTATGACCACTAGACTTTACACTTAAAAATGGTAAATGTGGCTGGGAGTGGTGGCTCATGCCTGTAATCCCAGCACTTTGGGAGGCAGATGCGGGTGGATCACGTGGTCAGGAGTTGGAGACCAGCTCGACCAACATGGTGAAACCACCTCTCTACTAAAAATACAAAAAGTAGCCTGGCGTGGTGGTGCGCGCCTGTAGCACCAGCTACTCAGGTGGCTGAGGCAGGAGAATCACTTGAACCCAGGAGGCGGAAGTTGCAGTGAGCTGAGATTGTGCCACTGCACTGCAGCATAGGGGACAGAGCTAGACTCTGCCTCAAAAAAAAAAAAAATGTTAAAGGTGGTAAGCTATATAGGTATATTTATCCTCAATAAATATTTCTTCAAACAAAAGTAAAGGGTGTAGGGGTTGCTGGTGATGACATCCCTGTGTGGGTGAGAGGCCAGGATGGGCTTCTGGGAAATGGGTAATGTTGAGGGGCTGAGGGAACCTCTGATCTTCCCAAACTGAGCCCAGTCTCCCTCCTCTGGGTCTCTCCTGACCGCTTTCTCCATCTGCCTGTGTGCCTGGAGCCCTGGCCGCGGGCCTTCATGCAGGCCGTGTAGGAGGGTTTGGAGGTGCCCTGTCTGCCATCCTGTGCCCTGATCCCTCCCTCACACCCAAGCTTCGTCTTCTCTCTGCATCTGTCCATGCTTATCTCCATCATCAGCAGGAAGCTCCTCAGCTAAGGCTCTAGGATCATAGGACATGAGACAGATATGGGGTTTCCTCACCTGTGACAGAAACAAGCAGTGGGTCACTCGAGTTTGACCACTCGTATGGAGAGTCACGGAAAGAGCCGAAGCATCTGTAGGTTCCTCCGTGGGTGGCAGGGCCCAGAGGAAAGTCGGCCTGGAATGTTCCGTTGACCTTGGGCCCTGCAGAGAACCTACATTCATGGGCCTCCCCCTCCCTGGATAGATGGTACATGTCATAGGAGCTCCGGGAGCTGCAGGACAAGGTCACGCTCTCTCCTGCCAGAACCGTGGGGCCCGGCTGGGCTGAGAGAGAAGGTTTCTCATATAGACCTGGAAGGAGAAGAGGCATTTTCCTCAGGGAGGATCTTCCTTGTCACAGCTCCCTTCACCTGAGCTGAGAACTCACTCCCCTGCTCTATGACCTAATGCTCTCTCTCTCTCTCTCTCACCCTCCACCCCATCTCTCTTCATGTCTATTTCCTTCTTCCACCTTCTCTGTCTCTCTAGGTCTCTGACCTCGCTTCCCCACCTCTAGATATGTTTTCCGTTTTTGGATTGTTTTATTCTCTCTGACTCTCCTTGGATTGGTTGACTTGATGTTACTTTTTTAAATTCTAAGTTTCTCACGTTGTGTCCTGTTCATAACTTTCTGCATATTTCTATCTATTATCTGTCGATCTATCTATTTATCTATTCGGTGCCTATCTACAAATTCTCTACCTGTCATCTATATCTATATATCATCTATGTATCTATCAGTTGTCTATCTATCCATCAATCATCTGTTATTTATATGTATGTATCATCTCTCTCTCTATGATTTCTGTCTGCCTCTCTATCTGTACGTATTATCTGTCTTCATCATCATCATCTCTATGTATTATCTATTAATGAATCAATCAATCATCATCTATGTATCTTTAACCTATTATCTATCATCTACCTATTTATCATCTATCTATATCTATCCATCTATCATCTGTATTGCTCTGCCTCTCGGTCTCTCTAGCTCTCTTTGGAATCTCTGCAATTCATCCCCACATCTCCATGTTTCTATGTCCTTGTGCCTCTCTCTCAGGACTCTAATTTTAGTGCTTTTCTCTGCTCCCTGCCATCATTCTCACCACTCCTCTGCCCTCTTTTCTCTCTCTTTATGTGTCTGTGAGTCTCTCAATCTCCTTCCTCTGGCTCATTCTCCGTGTGTTTATGTCTTTGCTTTTTGGTGTTCCTGATTTTTCTCTGTGCCTCTCAGTGATCCTTTCATATGTGGGGTTATTTGGAATGTGAGCCTCAGAATCCAGTCTGGAGACCACAAGTTCACACAGCATACAGGGGTTGGTGTTCTGGGGCCATGATATCCTGGGACGGTTACTCTCCATTACATGGAAGGCAGAGGTGTCAGAATAAACATGGCCTGTAGGTGCCACAAGGCCTGAGGCCACAGGGCCCAACTCAGGTCAGAAATATGGGTGTCCTTGGGTTCTCCTGGTAGAGAACACTTTGTGGAGGTAAAACAGAAATGAAACTTCTAACCTGTGCCAGGTCTGTGAGCAAAGTCAGCATGGAGGGACACCTCTCTCTGGGACATGTCTGTCTGTCTGTCTCTTTTAACTCTTTCTGTCTTTTCTAACTCCCTGTATGGCCCCTGTGTCTGTCCTCCGTTATGACACCTGGTCTGTACTTGTGTCTCCTGTTTCTCTGTCTCTGTTGGTACAAACCTCAGCAAGTCAGTCTCTCTCCATAAGAATACCAAGCTCATCTTCCTTACAACTACCTGGGGGTTCCAAGTCGTGGATCATTCACTCTGCAGCCCAATGACAATGAGAATGTCCGGACACTCTCACCTGTGATGACGATGTCCAGAGGGTCACTGGGAGCTGACAACTGATAGGGGGAGTGAGTAACAGAACCGTAGCATCTGTAGGTCCCTGCAAGGTCTTGCATCATGGGACCGATGGAGAAGTTGGCTTTGGAGACCCCATCATGGTGCTCTCCAATGAGGTGCAAAGTGTCCTTAAACTTCCCTTCTCTGTGCAGAAGGAAGTGCTCAAACCTGACATCTGACCAACATTGCAGGATGACTGTCTCTTCTGATTTCACCAGGCGACCTGGGTGGGCCAGGAGGGAAGGTTTTCTGTGGACTCCTAGGAAGAGAGGTTGTGAGTTTAGAAGGTGTCTCTCTTTATCATCCCATCCATGGCACCTAGAATGAGTGAGGCTTCCCCTTGCTGGTGTCTGTCTCTCTCCTTCCTCTCTGTGTCTTCATGTTCTTTTCTGTGCCCTTAACTCCTGGTGCAGGTCCTTCCATCTGTCTCCCTCCCTCTTCTCTGTCCCTCTGTCTCTAGTAGCCTCTGATTCCCTTCCCACTGGGCTTAGCCTCATCTCTTGGGGTGTTGTATCTATTTCACACTAATGTCTTTCCTGCTGTTTATGTGGGGGTGAAAGAGGAACCAGGATAGGCTGCACATCCAGGCTCTTATCAGCCTGGTTCAATCTCTTTTGGATGAATTGCAATCCTTGGCAGAAGATATGAACTGATGAATAAGGCAGGCACCAGTGTCCACACACCCTGTTCCTGGTGGGGACTGGGAGCCACTCTTGCCATGCCTGTGCCTTCTCCATGGTGCCAGCTTCCATAGGCTGGCTCCTGGTGCTGGTTGGAGGAGTATCAACCCCTCCCTATGTGGATGGAGCCTGGTGGTGGCATCATCATCCCACCCTTGCTGATCTCAGGGTAGCCAACCTTCTCCTTCTTTGGTTTCTTTAATTAATTAATTAATTTTGGAGACAGAGTCTCACTCCTTCACCCAGGCTGGAGTGAAGTGGTGTGGTCTAGGCTCACTGCAACCTCTGTTTCCTGGGTTCAAGTGATTCTCCTGCCCTCAGCCTCCTGAGTCGCTAGGATTACATGCACCTGCCACCATGCCTGGCTTTCCTTGGGTTGTTTCTTAACTTGTCCTTGACCTGGGTTCCAGTGTTGGTTTCCTGTTGCTGCTGTACAAAATTATCAGAAGCATGGAAGCAGGAGAGACCACACTGACACCTTCCAGTACTGGAGACAGAAATTGGACCCTATTTTTCCTGGGCTAAAATCAAGGCATCTGCAGGGCTTTGTTCCCTCTGGAGACTCTGGAGAATCAGTTCCTTGACTTTTCCAGCCTCTATAGGCCACCTGCATTCATGGCTCTTGGCCTTCCTCCACCTTCAAAGCTGGTGAAGACTTCCACTGGACTGCTCTAATCCCCACTCCCCTCTTCCTCCTCCTTTCATGTGCACCCTTGTGATTACACTGAGCCCAGTGGGACAGTCCAGGCTGTCTCCCCATGAGCTCCATCTTCCCCTTCAGTCCCTTCCCCTATAACATACATAGTCACAGACTCCAGGGATTAGAATGTAGTCATCACTGGGGACAATTATTCTTCCCACCACAGCACCCATTTCCCTGTATTCAATCCCCCTTTACCACAAATACAGTCAGGGCCTGCGTGATGGGACCCTCAAGGACATGCCCACCAGAAGCTCTGGGATTCAGGAGGTGGGACAAGGAGAATCCAAGACAGGAGCCCTCTGACCTATGACCACGATCACCAGGGGGTTGCTGGGTGCTGACCACCCACTGGGGGAGTGTGTGTGTGAACCCCGACATCTGTATGTCCCTGTTGTGCGGGGGTCACAGGGCCCATGAAAAGGCTGTTCCAGAATATTCTGTTGTAGAGCTCAGGGACAGGCACCCCACCTTCCTTGTACAGACTGAAGTTGTTAAACCCAAGATAAGAGTGACACCGAAGAATGACATGTCCTAGAGGCACCACAAGGCTGGGCCAGGCAGACAGCAAGGGCTTGTCCTGACCACCTTGGGGAGAAGGAGGCGCCGCCTTAGAGAGGAGGATGTGGAACTGCCCCTCCCTCCCTGTGCTCAGAAGATTCTCCTCGCTTTCCACGTTTCTATGGCTACTATCACACCTTGGTGCCCAGGGCTGAAGGAAGGACCCATCCCGCAAAGACATGGTGTCTCCCTACAACAAAAGCCTCAGCTGAGAACTTTGAGCAAGTGCTGAGTAAAGAGACTCCTACTAGATTTTGATACTGTAAGATTACTCACATAAAACAACACAGGGTAGACATGAGGTGGAGGGCATGTCCTTTGTGAATGGATATCAGCGGATGCCTGAACGAAAATAAACAACTGAGCCCCCATCAGAGGATTTGGAATGTCAGGGCCATGGCTGTGGTTTCCCACCTCTTCTGGTAGAATGACAGCAGCCACACTGCAGCCCCTACCATCATGGAAACGCTGAAGTGTGTGAGTAACACCTTTGTCCTCAGAGGATCTGCTGTTCCTACCACTTCCCAACCACACACCCCAGCTTTGAGCACCCCAGTCTAACCCTGGTCCCCACAGAACTTGACTCTGCCAAGGGGTTGAGAGGCCAGGGAGGCGAGGTCAGAAATGTGGGCTGAGCACCCCAGGGTCCTCTCTTCCTAGTTTATGAGAGACTCCCCGACAGGACTTCCCTCCTGTTTCAGGAAAATCCTCTTATGTGGGGAGATGACACCCGAAGGTTTGGAGAAGGACTCACCCTCATGTGGCCAGGCCCCCTGCAGCAAGAAGAACCCTGGAAAGAAAGATCATGATGGACGATCCATCTGCAGGCGAACCAGCCCTCCCTTGCTGCCCCCACTGGGCTGTGAGTCTTGGCAGCCAGGCCCTTCCTGGGCTGAAGTTAAACTCACCCTCAGTGCCTACCTGCACCCAAGAACAGGGCTGTCGGCTGTGCAGAGACCCAGTTTCCAGGCCCATATCCCCACCCCAAGCCCATATCTCCACTCCAGGCTGATATTTCCACCCTAGGCCCATATCGCCAATCCAGGCTCAGATCTCCACCCTAGGCCCCTATCTCCAATCCAGTCCCATATCTCCGCCCCAGGCCCAGAACTCCACCCTAAGCCCATATCTCCACTCCAGGCCCATATCACCTCTCCAGTCCCATATCTCCACACCCAGGCCCATATCTCCTTCCTAGGCCCATATCTCCACTCCAGGCCCAGATATCCACCTCTAGGCCCATAACTCCACTCCTGGCCCATATCTCCACTCCAGGCCCATATCTCTACTGCAGGCCCGTATCTCCACCTCCAGACCCATATCTCCACTCCAGGCCCATATCTCCACCTCCAGGCCCATATCTCCACCTCCAGGCCCATATCTCCACTTCAGGCCCATATCTCCACTCCAGGCCCATATCTCCACTCCAGGCCCCTATTTCTACTGCAGGCCCATATCTCCATCTCCAGGCCCATATCTCCATCTCCAGGCCCATGTCTCCACTACAAGCCCATATCTCTACTGCAGGCCCATATCTCAACCTCCAGGCCCATATCTCCACTCCAGGCCCAGATCTCCACTTCTAGGCCCATCACTCCATCTCTAGGCCCATAACTCCACTTCCAGGCCTATATCTCCAACTCTGGGCCCCGATCTCCATCCCCGCACTCCCTCCCTCGATTCCCTTCCAGGACTCACCAACACACGCCATGCTGACGACCATGAGCGACATGGTGCTGTCTGTGCAGACAGGCGGCCGCGCCCCAGCTCAGCTCAGCAGCGCACAGGATGTTATTTGGCGCCCTGCCCATGCAGTTTACATGTTGACCACATCATGGGAGGGTGACGTACGCAGGCTCTTTCTACCTTGCATGAGGCCCAGTGGGTGCTCGCTCAAGAGCGGAACATGGCTTCCTGGAAATTGTTCTCACTAGAATTGACACCTTGCGTCCTTCACTACGACCAGACTCAAAAGACGTCTCAGATCCAACCTCTCATACACGAGATGATTGAATTCTGTGCTTACATTAAAGATTTTTGATGTATTTTTGTTTTTATCTGAGATTCAAACTCTTCTTCATATGTAATGTGCAAAATGTCTAACAGGTATTATTAACATTATCAGAGTAATTGTGACAAGAAGCCATTCTAATTTTCCTGCTTGAGTTTCTAGTACTAAACCAGAGGCATCAGAATAGCTTGAACCTGGGAGGCGGAGGTTGCAGTGAGCTGAGCTCAAGCCACTGAACTCCAGCTTGGGTGACAGAGGAAGAGTCTGTCTCAAGAAAAAAAAAAAAGCAAACTAAATAACCTATAATAACAAATCAGAGGACTCAGGTTACCAAATTTTAAGGGGTTCTATAAGTTTATATAAAATGCAGCATCCTCATGAGAGGGGATACAGAGAACCACTGGACAGAAAACTGTGTCTAAAATACATCTGTGGATACACAGTCCCTTTATAGTTGACAAAGGCTGCCATGTAGTTTAAGGTGGAATAGAATATTTTCTCAACAAATAACACAGGACCATAGGGTTACACGTAGGAAAAAATAAATCTAAACTTATCCTCACACTATAAAAACACTTCTTATTTTTTATCTTGTTGTTGTAAATTTTTTATGCTTTATTTTTAAGATTGACAAATAAAAATTATATACCATGGTCCTTCACTATACCTGGGTGATTGGTTCCAGGATCCCCATTCAGATACCAAAATCTGCAGATGCTCAAGCCCCTTGCATGAAATGGCATAGTGAAGCTGGGCACCGTGGCTCACGCCCGTAATCCCAGCACTTTGGGAGGCTGAGCTGGGTAGATCACAAGGTCAGGAGTTCAAGACCAGCTGGTCCAACATTCTGAAACCCCGTCTCTACTAAAAATACACACACAAAAAAATTTATCTGTGCATGGTGGCACGTGCCTGTAATCCTAGGGGAGGCTACTGGGGAGGCTGAGGGAAGACAATCGCTTGAACCTGGGAGGCGGAGGTTGCAGTGAGTTGAGATCACGCCACTGCACTCCAGCCTGGGTGAGAGAGTGAGACTGTCTCAAAAAAAAAAAATAGCATAGCAATTGCATAGAACCCATGCACATCCTCCTGTATACATGAAATCATCTCTTGATTACTTATAATTCCTGACACAGCCTACACGCCACTCAATTTGTGTCGATTCAACATAGTTTTTTGCTTCTTGAAACTTCGGGGATTTTTTTCTCAAAATATTTTTGATTTATTGTTGGTTCAATAAACACCTGTAAACCCCACAGATATGGAGGACCGACTGTATATTTATATTATGAAAGATGATATGTTGATATGTGTCCCCGTGGAGATGAGACTAACAAGGCCTATGACTCTACAAATGTTTCATCGTGGAATGACTCTGCCAGCTTTCCAGGTCTGCAGAGAGTAAGAATATCACTTGTTCATGTGATTCACGATCCTTGGAGCCTCCTATGTGCTGTATCTTTGGATGGAAATTGGAGTCTCAGAGACAATTCAGGCTCCATTCTGCTTCCAGAAGCTCAGAGTCCAGGGCTGAGAACCCAATGGAGAACAGATGGGGTTATGTGGACATGGTAATGATAACACCGGAAGCCTTAGGCAAGAGAAGAGTCTCGTTACCGAAACCATGAGGGCAGACATGTTTATTTGAAGGCGGGAAAACTACATTGAAATTATTTAAAAAATTTATAAGTTTTACTGCTGGCAGAAGGCTGAAAGATAGTCTGAAGGGAGGTGGAACAGCACGTGTCTAAGTGCTGTGTTAAGAGGGAGCCTCTTGTATGTTTGGAATTGTGAGTTCCTCAGTGTGATTGCAGCCTCAGGTAGACTAGGAAGTAAGCTAGTTAGGTTGGAGAGGTGGGCAGGGGTCAAGTGAAATGGAGAATTGTGGGCTAAGCAAAGGAGTGTGTTTTCTCTCCAGCAGGCAGTGGGGACCTTAGACATTTGTAAGCAAGAGAGAGGCATGTTCAGATTCGTGGTGTGAGGAAGAGCGATGCCCTAAGATGAAGACTGATGCCTTCAGATTCCAGCTGCTGGTACATGGGAGCTGGCAACCCGGTTTTGAGACAGGGCTGTTGTCTCCCTAGAAGATCCCCTCAAGGCCTGACTGTGGTGCTCGTGGACAGAAGACAACTTTGGATCTGGGCTCAGCATTTGGAAGTTCTATGTACATGCTGGTATCTGTTGGGGGTGTCTTGGGCCTCTCAGAAGGGCGAGTGATTTCTCTCTGTGTGAAAACACAGTGATCCAATTATGCGTATGACACCTCCTGATGGTCTTGTTCATCAGAATCCTGGAGAGAGGGAAATGCTGAGTGAGGGAGGGTGCTCACATTTTTCAGGACTCTTTGGGAATAAGACTAGCCACGAGGCTGGGCCGAGGAGCACCTACCTCGCTGTTCACTGTTCTGTTCCCTGCAGGCTCTTGGTCCATTACAGCAGCATCTGTAGAAGACGGAAGTCAACAAAAGAGCTCGGAGGGCACTTCTGGGTCCTCATTTCATAAGCAGATACCAACAAACAGGGGGAGGCCATAGGTGCCTGAGGTCCCTCAGTTGCCAACAGCAGACTCAGACATTCTATCTCTCTGAGTTCAAGGACCCATCCCATGAATAGCTCTGAGTTCCCATCCCATTGATTCTATCTCCCACTTTCTGCCTGTCATGGAACCTTCTCCTGGATGTGAGTGGCTGCAGGGGACGTGAGGGTACAGTTCAGAATCAGGCAACGGTCTGTGAGCTGAAGGCAGGGGAAGGGAATCTGGTGCTCTCTCTAGAAAGTCCTGCCTCTGTGGCTCCTGTCTTGGGCCAGGGACCATCCTGCTGGTGAGGAACACACACCTGAGTGCTCCCATCCTGCTTCCCCACATGGCCCTGAGCTCTCTGGCCTCTGCTTCGTGAGACTTACTTTTTTTGTTGGAGCACCAGCGATGAAGGAGAAAGAAGAGGAGGATGGTGAAAGGGATTTTGACCACTGAGGTCCCAATCAGAACATGCAGGTGTCTGGGGTTACCTGGAAGAAGAGGAGACACCAATAAGAAGCTAATCATAGCAGTTCCTCTTTATGAATTGTCTCGCATTTCTTGATTGGCAGGTAACCACATACAACGTCTCTTTAGGACAAGCACCCAAATGGCGGGAGACCTAGCTTTCCCCTGCTTTCTCAATTATAGCTCTCATAGTAACCATAGAACGTGCTGAGGATACAACTACTTTAGTTGAGATGTTTGACCCCTTCAAACCTCACATTGAAATTTCACCCCCATTGTGGGAGGTTGGGCCTCTTCAGAGGTGTTTGGGTCATGGAGGTGGATCCATCATGAACAGATCAATGCTGTCCCAAGGAGACGGGGTTAGCAAGTTCCCCCTCTGTTAGTTCCTGGACAGCTGGTTGTTAAAAAGAGCTTGGAAGCTCCATTGCTCCCTCTCCCCCTTACTCTCTCTCTTGCCGTGTGATCTCTGTGGTCTCTGCACAGACAGACCCTCCTTCCCTTCTGCCAGAGTGGGAGCAGCCTGAGGCCATCACGAGAAATAGATTCTGGTGCCATGCTTCCAGTACAGCCTGCAGAACTGTGAGGCAAACCGATCTCTTTTCTTTAGAAGTTACCGAGGCTCAAGTGTTCCTTCAGAGCAACAAAAAAAAAAACTAAGACAGCAACGACCTGAGATCAGGAGGAATGTCTCAGAACAGCCTGGGCTGTCTTCCTGTTCTTCCTGGAGGAAGGCGTCATGCAGTGCTTTAGCTGAGTGCTTCCTGTGGCTCCAGGGTACAAAACCCAGGCTGGGCTGCTTTCTGGCTTCCCGCAGCTACACTGCAAATGGGGTGACTCCATATGTCCCGAGCAGCTTTTCTGAGCCTTGAGGGACTGGCTCACATTGAAATGTAGGCTTCTGTTGTCACTCGCTGCTTATCTGTTAGTAATGAACCTGCCTGTGTAATGTATTCTCTGTGTGTTCTGTCTCCCTGGAGTGACGGTGAGTGATAGGAATTGGCATAGGCCCAGGTGCAGTCCAGGAGGTGTTTAGAGTCTTCTCTGGGAAGACTGCACTGGGATTGATACACAGCGACTGTGCTTTAGGATTTCTACATCCACGGCATTCTTGAGTCAAACAACTTGCATTCTCCAAGAAAAGGAAACAAAAGTGAAATCAAGATAAAAAAAGCGAAGTAGAATTCTCTTATGTCAAATGGCCAGGAAACAGTGTTGAAGCCCATGTGAAACGTGCTACTCTTTGTGATCTCAGGAGACACATGTTAGGTTGCTGTTCTACCCGAGAGGCTGGGGGAAGGACCACCCCCTCGGCCATCTATTGCTTCAATACCACCTGTCCTCCTGTGAATTAGTAGGAAAGGGGAGCAGGAGCTACTGCTGACGCTAATCTCTGATTCCAAGATCTGGACTCACTCCAAGGAGTATTAGAATTTACCTCCCCATGGCCTATCTGAATCTCCACAGATGATTGGAAGTAGGGGTGAGGTGGGGGATTTGGGTGAGAGGGCATGTTTTCTTGTGATGAACAGAGCACTTTGTGTATTCCAGGATCTGTGCTGGAGGATTCAGCGGGCTTTCACATTTTCTATATGATCTCATGCTCACAGAAAGCCAAATAGGGAAGAGGTTTTAGGCTCATTGCCTAATGGATAAGATAAAGGATCAAAGAAGTAATTATAGAGAAATAGAAAAATCATGATTGGAATTCAGGTCCCTTTCTCATTTGCATGTGTTATATTATATTTATATTTATGCATTTCTTATTTTTATTTTTTGAGACGGAGTCTCCTTGTGTCACCCAGGCTGGAGTGCAGTGATGCAATCTCCACTCACTGCAACCTCCACCTCCTGGGTTGAAGTCATTCTCCTGCTTCATCCTCCAGAGTAGGAGCTGGGATTACAGGGATGCACCACCATGCTCGGCTAATTTTTGTGTTTTTCCTAGAGACAGGGTTTCACCATGTTGGCCAGGCTGGTCTCGAACTGCTGACTTCATGTGATCCACCCGCCTTGGCCTCCTGCAGTGCTGGGTTACAGGCGTGAGCCACCGTTCACAGACTTGTATATTATGCTATAATAGGTCCCTTCATTTCCACCACCCCTCATATATCTGTCACTCCTTTGCCAGGTATTGATTTATGTGTAGTAGGAATAAAGCTCAGAAAGAAATTAAGCGAGGATTAGACAACTAGGAAAATCATACCCAGCAAGCCTTTCCAGCCAATGATTCCACCTCACAAGCATAGCTTATATCCATCTGCTTCACCCAGTTAGGGTCTAAATCAGCACCACATTTCACCAGTGGGGCGGGAATTGCCTTTTCCACAGTCTCCTAGATTCCAGTTACGCACCTGGGCCTCCCTTATTTTCATGTCAGTCACTATTAATCATGTAGGGATTCCTGGCTACCCCGAGGTGAATCCAATGGCTGTGAGTGTCAAACACACACTCCTTGTTGCTCCTTAGTTTCCTGTGTACCCAGTGTGCTCTCCGTCTCTCCACAGTCGTCTTGTCATTCTCCCCACCTCATTCCCAGCATTTGAGGCAGAGCCTCTTCCTTCCACATCAGATTGTTTTCAGCTTTCTGCCTTCACGGCTGACAGCTGTGTGTGGAAAATCCTTCCGCCAATCTTTCAGGGGTTCAATCCGTGTTTTTCATTAATGTCACAAATATCTGATTAGTGAGATCTTCTCTGTCACCCAAAATCATACACTCAGCATTATGTATTATTTATTTTAAATTCTGGCTGGGCACAGTGGCTCACGCCAGTTATCCCAGTACTTTAGGATGCTGAGACGGTCGGATCACTTGAGGTTGGGAGTTTCAGAGAAGCTTGGCGAAGATGGTGAAACATCCTCTACAAAAAATATACAAAAAGAATTAGCCGGGCATGGTGGCAGTTGCCTGTAATCCCAGCTACTTGAGAGGCTGACGCAGGAGAATCACTTGGATCCAGAAGGTGCAGGTTGCAGTGAGCCAAGATGGTGACACTGCACTGTAGCCTGGAAGACAGAGGGAGACTCTGTCTCAATAAACAAATGAAGAAACAAACAAATAGATTTCATACACAGATGCTTCCCAATGGATCATTCATTTATTGGTCCACTTGTGCATTCATTTTCTGCCCTCCCATTTAACCATCTGCAATATCAGTGTCCAAAGAGCAGAGGCCAAATGCATCTTGTTCACTGTTTGTGGAAGGCAGGAGAATGCTGTCCCACCCCAAAATGTCCCTGTCCTAGCCTCCATAGCTTGTGAATATCTTATTTTACATGGAAAGGAGGAATGAAGATTGCAGATGGAATTATGGTTGCTAATCAGCTGAACTTAAAACAAGGGTATCCTGAATGATTTCCGGGAGATTATGATGGATTTTCATCTTGGTGAACCCAATAGAATCCCCAAGTTTTCAAAAGATGAGGAAGAAGGGAGAGCAGCATTCAGAGAAAGAGGTGTGGTAAGGAAGAAGGGTCTGAGTGATGCCATGTGAGATGTGACCAGTCTTTGTGGGCTTTGAGGAAGGAGGAAGGGGACCAGGAGCGAAGGAATGTGGGAGCCTCTAGAAGCTGAGAAAAGTGAGAAGCAGATTCTTGCCTGGAATCCTCAGAGGGAAGGCAGCCTTGCTGTCACCTTGATTTTAGCCCAGTGAGATGCACTTCATACTTTGAGCTACAGCACTGTAAGATAATTAAAAAACCGTTTTGTTTTCACCCACGAATCTTGTGGAAATTTGTTATGGCAACAATAGGAAAAGCTTCCACAGTGCACAGCCTGAGCATGGGGCCGTGGCTGAATGAGTCAGTGAGTCGAAGTGTGCGTGCATGAGCTCTGTTCTCTGTTACAGCAAGGCTCTTTCTCTGCTGAGTCAGCCAGGGTTGCTTCATGACCTATAGGAGCTCATTCCTTGGCAAGTGGAACTTCTCTAAAACACCTCGCCCTCATCAGATGTTCCCTTCCCTTCCCTCTCTCAAGTCTCCAGGAATTTATCCTCCAGTTAGGAATGCAGGCAGAACAAACATTGCATTTTTCCTGAGAAGGATGTCAGATTGGCAATCATTCTTCTAGCTTGTAGGAAGTCTCAGCTCCATAAAATGAGAGATGAAGAGATTTCACTGAGCCCTGTGTTGGACCCAGATCCCTTTCGCTGTAGGAGTATCTGGAGTTCGGAGATGGTGGAAGACAGGGGTACAATGTCAGAGCTGTGAGATGCTGAGTCAACGCCTGAATCCAAGGTTTCCACCTCCCCAGGTTTCCAAAAGCGGATATAAGAGGGTTCTGTACTCACCGGTTTTGGAGCTTGGTTCAGTGGGTGAAGGCCAACTATTTGAAGGGTTTCCTAGAACATGAGACAGGAGAGAGGTGAGGAAATGAGGGTGTCTGTCCTCTACTCAGTGGAAATCTTTGAGGATGGTTCATGGCCAACACTCTGTTATCTAATATTGGGCCCTGGGAGTCCTGGGATCCTTTTTTCCATAATTTTTTTATGTGACGCCCACTGTCTTGAGACTTCAAGGTATAAAGAGAAAACAGGAGCATCACACTACCTGATCTCAAAATATGTTACAGAGCTGTAGTAAGCAAAACAGCATGACATTGGCATAAAGAAAGGGACATAGAACAACGGAGCAGAATGAATAACACAGATATATTCCATGCATTTACATCCAATGGTTTTTTATTTTTTCTTTTGAGATGGAGTCTTGCTCTGTCACTCAGGCTGGAGTGCAGAGGTGCAATCTCAGTTCACTGCAACCTCAGCCTCCTGGGTTCAATCATTCTCTTGCCTCAAACTCCTGAGTAGTGGTATTACAGGTGCTGACCACCATGCTCAGCTAATTTTTATATTTTTAGTGGAGACGATGTTTCATCACGTCGTCCAGACTGATCTTGAACTCCTGGCCTCAGGTAATCCACCCGCCTCGGCCTCCCAAAGTGCTGAAATTGCAGGTGTCAGCCACCAAGCCCAGCCCATCCAATGGACTTTGACAAAGGTGCCAAGAACTCACAATCAGGAAAGGACAGTCTTTTCAATAAACAGTGCAGGGAAACCTGGACATCGACATGCAGAGGAATGAAACTGCACCTCTACCTGTCACCATACACAAAAATCAAATGAAAATGGATTAAAGATGTGAGTCTAAGGCCTGAACCTATGAAACACGTAGAACAAAATATTGGGGAAATGCTCCAGGACATTTGTCTGAAGAAAGACATTTTGTTTTAAACCTTGAAAACACAAGTAATCGAAGCAAAAATAGACCATTGGGATTACCTCAAACTAAGCAACTTCTGCACTGCTAAAAATAAACCAACAAAGTGAAGAGACAACCCACAGATTGGGAGCAAATATGTGCAAACTATGCATCTGAGATGGGATTAATAACTAGAAATATAAGAAGCTCAAACAACTCAATAAAACAAATGATTTAATTGAAAAAGGAGCAGAAGACATGAAATTTCCCCACATACTAAAAAGTGCTCAGTATCACTCATCATCAGAGAAACGCAAATTAAAATCAAAGTGAGTTTTCATCTCACCCCATTAAAATGGCTTTTAGGCCGGGCGTGGTGGCTCACGTCTGTCATCCTAGAACTTTGAGAGCCTGAGGTGGGTGAATCTCATAAGGTCAGGAGTTTGAGACCAGTCTGACCCACATAGAGAAACACTGTCTCTACTAAAAATACAAAAATTAGTCGGGCGTGGTGGAGTGTGCCTGTAATTCCAGCTACTCGGGAGGCTGAGGCAGGAGAATCGCTTGAACCTGGGAGGTGGAGGTTGTGGTGAGCCGAGATAGCGCCACTGCACTCCTGCCTGGGTGAGAAGAGCAAAACTCCATCTCAAAATAAAATGAAATAAAATAAAATGGCTTTTAGCTGCAAGACAGGCAAAAGAAATGCTGGCAAGGTGGTAGAGAAAGGAGAACCCTGGTACCCTGTTGGGAGGAGTGTAAATTAGTACAGCGATTACGGAGAAAAGTATGGAAGTCCTTTAAAGAACTAAAAAGAGGTTGGGTGTGGTGGATCAGGCCTGTAATCCCGGCACTTTGGGAGACTGAGGCGGGCATCTCAGTTGAGGTCATGAGTTTGAGAGCAGCCCAGCCAACATGGGGAAACCCCATCTATACTAAAAAAAACAAAAAGTAGCCAGGCATGGTGGCGTGCACCTGTAATCCCAGCTACTAGGGAGGCTGAGGCAGGAAAATCATTTGAACCCAGGAGGCAGAGGTTGCAATGAGCCAAGATGACATCACTTGTACTCCAGCCTGGGCACAGAGGGAAACTGTCTCAAAAACAAAAACAAAACAACAAACGAAAAACTAAAAAGAGAACTTTCATAGTATCCAGCAATTTCACTACTGGGTTTATATCCAAAGGAAAGTAAATCAATATATCGAAGTGATATCTGCACTCGTATGATTGGTGCAGCACTGTTCACAGTAGCCAAGATGTGGAGTCAACCTACCTGCCCATCAGTGGATGAATGGATAGAGAGAATGTAGTACATACGCACAGTGGAGACTACTCATCCATAGAAAGAATAACATCCTGATATTTGCAGCCACATGGATGGAACTGGAAGTCATTACAAAGATTCCCATTTCTCACCCATATACAGAGCTAAAAGGTGGATCTCATGAAGGTAGAGAGTAGAATGATGGCTTCCAGAGGCCAGGAAGAAAAGGGTGGAGGGTAAAAAAAAAAAAAAAAAATATATATATATAAATGTATTTATGACCACTAGACTTTACACTTAAAAATGGTAAATGTGGCTGGGCGTGGTGGCTCATGCCTGTAATCCCAGCACTTTGGGAGGCACATGCGGGTGGATCACGTGGTCAGGAGTTGGAGACCAGCTCGACCAACATGGTGAAACCACCTCTCTACTAAAAATACAAAAAGTAGCCTGGCGTGGTGGTGCGCGCCTGTAGCACCAGCTACTCAGGTGGCTGAGGCAAGAGAATCGCTTGAACCCAGGAGGCGGAAATTGCAGTGAGCTGAGATTGTGCCACTGCACTCCAGCATAGGGGACAGAGCTAGACTCTGCCTCAAAAAAAAAAAAAATGTTAAAGGTGGTAAGCTATATAGGTATATTTATCCTCAATAAATATTTCTTCAAACAAAAGTAAAGGGTGTAGGGGTTGCTGGTGATGACATCCCTGTGTGGGTGAGAGGCCAGGATGGGCTTCTGGGAAATGGATAATGTTGAGGGGCTGAGGGAACCTCTGATCTTCCCAAACTGAGCCCAGTCTCTCTCCTCTGGGTCTCTCCTGACCGTTTTCTCCATCTGCCTGTGTGCCTGGAGCCCTGGCCGCGGGCCTTCATGCAGGCCGTGTAGGAGGGTTTGGAGGTGCCCTGTCTGCCATCCTGTGCCCTGATCCCTCCCTCACACCCAAGCTTCGTCTTCTCTCTGCATCTGTCCATGCTTCTCTCCATCATCAGCAGGAAGCTCCTCAGCTAAGGCTCTAGGATCATAGGACATGAGACAGATATGGGGTTTCCTCACCTGTGACAGAAACAAGCAGTGGGTCACTCGAGTTTGACCACTCATAGGGAGAGTCACGGAAAGAGCCGAAGCATCTGTAGGTTCCTCCGTGGGTGGCAGGGCCCAGAGGAAAGTCGGCCTGGAATGTTCCGTTGACCTTGGGCCCTGCAGAGAACCTACGTTCATGGGCCTCCCCCTCCCTGGATAGATGGTACATGTCATAGGAGCTCCGGGAGCTGCAGGACAAGGTCACGCTCTCTCCTGCCAAAACCGTGGGGCCCGGCTGGGCTGAGAGAGAAGGTTTCTCATATAGACCTGGAAGGAGAAGAGGCATTTTCCTCAGGGAGGATCTTCCTTGTCACAGCTCCCTTCACCTGAGCTGAGAACTCACTCCCCTGCTCTATGACCTAATGCTCTCTCTCTCTCTCTCTCACCCTCCACCCCATCTCTCTTCATGTCTATTTCCTCCTTCCACCTTCTCTGTCTCTCTAGGTCTCTGACCTCGCTTCCCCACCTCTAGATATGTTTTCCCTTTTTGGATTCTTTTATTCTCTCTGACTCTCCTTGGATTGGTTGACTTGATGTTACTTTTTTAAATTCTAAGTTTCTCACGTTGTGTCCTGTTCATAACTTTCTGCATATTTCTATCTATTATCTGTCGATCTATCTATTTATCTATTCGGTGCCTATCTACAAATTCTCTACCTGTCATCTATATCTATATATCATCTATGTATCTATCAGTTGTCTATCTATCCATCAATCATCTGTTATTTATATGTATGTATCATCTCTCTCTCTATGATTTCTGTCTGCCTCTCTATCTGTACGTATTATCTATCTGTCTTCATCATCATCATCTCTATGTATTATCTATTAATGAATCAATCAATCATCATCTATGTATCTTTAACCTATTATCTATCATCTACCTATTTATCATCTATCTATATCTATCCATCTATCATCTGTCTTGCTCTGCCTCTCGGTCTCTCTAGTTCTCTTTGGAATCTCTGCAGTTCATCCCCACATCTCCATCTTTCTATGTCCTTGTGCCTCTCCCTCAGGACTCTAATTTTAGTGCTTTTCTCTGCTCCCTTCCATCATTCTCACCACTCCTCTGCCCTCTTTTCTCTCTCTTTATGTGTCAGTGAGTCTCTCAATCTCCTTCCTCTGGCCCATTCTCTGTGTGTTTATGTCTTTGCTTTTTGGTGTTCCTGATTTCTCTCTGTGCCTCTCAGTGATCCTTTCATATGTGGGGTTATTTGGAATGTGAGCCTCAGAATCCAGTCTGGAGACCACAAGTTCACACAGCATACAGGGGTTGGTGTTCTGGGGCCATGATATCCTGGGACGGTTACTCTCCATTACATGGAAGGCAGAGGTGTCAGAATAAACATGGCCTGTAGGTGCCACAAGGCCTGAGGCCACAGGGCCCAACTCAGGTCAGAAATATGGGTGTCCTTGGGTTCTCCTGGTAGAGAACACTTTGTGGAGGTAAAACAGAAATGAAACTTCTATCCTGTGCCAGGTCTGTGAGCAAAGTCAGCATGGAGGGACACCTCTCTCTGGGACATGTCTGTCTGTCTGTCTCCTTTAACTCTTTCTGTCTTTTCTAACTCCCTGTATGGCCCCTGTGTCTGTCCTCCGTTATGACACCTGGTCTGTACTTGTGTCTCCTGTTTCTCTGTCTCTGTTGGTACAAACCTCAGCAAGTCAGTCTCTCTCCATAAGAATACCAAGCTCATCTTCCTTACAACTACCTGGGGGTTCCAAGTCGTGGATCATTCACTCTGCAGCCCAATGACAATGAGAATGTCCGGACACTCTCACCTGTGATGACGATGTCCAGAGGGTCACTGGGAGCTGACAACTGATAGGGGGAGTGAGTAACAGAACCGTAGCATCTGTAGGTCCCTGCAAGGTCTTGCATCATGGGACCGATGGAGAAGTTGGCCTTGGAGACCCCATCATGGTGCTCTCCAATGAGGTGCAAAGTGTCCTTATACTTCCCCTCTCTGTGCAGAAGGAAGTGCTCAAACCTGACATCTGACCAACATTGCAGGATGACTGTCTCTTCTGATTTCACCAGGGGACCTGGGTGGGCCAGGAGGGAAGGTTTTCTGTGGACTCCTAAGAAGAGAGGTTGTGAGTTTAGAAGGTGTCTCTCTTTATCATCCCATCCATGGCACCTAGAATGAGTGAGGCTTCCCCTTGCTGGTGTCTGTCTCTCTCCTTCCTCTCTGTGTCTTCATGTTCTTTTCTGTGCCCATAACTCCTGGTGCAGGTCCTTCCATCTGTCTCCCTCCCTCTTCTCTGTCCCTCTGTCTCTAGTAGCCTCTGATTCCCTTCCCACTGGGCTTAGCCTCATCTCTTGGGGTGTTGTATCTATTTCACACTAACGTCTTTCCTGCTGTTTATGTGGGGGTGAAAGAGGAACCAGGATAGGCTGCACATCCAGGCTCTTATCAGCCTTGTTCAATCTCTTTTGGATGAATTGCAATCCTTGGCAGAAGGTATGAACTGATGAATAAGGCAGGCACCAGTGTCCACACACCCTGTTCCTGGTCGGGACTGGGAGCCACTCTTGCCATGCCTGTGCCTTCTCCATGGTGCCAGCTTCCATAGGCTGGCTCCTGGTGCTGGTTGGAGGAGTATCAACCCCTCCCTATGTGGATGGAGCCTGGTGGTGGCATCATCATCCCACCCTTGCTGATCTCAGGGTAGCCAACCTTCTCCTTGTTTGGTTTCTTTAATTAATTAATTAATTTTGGAGACAGAGTCTCACTCCTTCACCCAGGCTGGAGTGAAGTGGTGTGGTCTAGGCTCACTGCAACCTCTGTTTCCTGGGTTCAAGTGATTCTCCTGCCCTCAGCCTCCTGAGTCGCTAGGATTACATGCGCCTGCCACCATGCCTGGCTTTCCTTGGGTTGTTTCTTAACTTGTCCTTGACCTGGGTTCCAGTGTTGGTTTCCTGTTGCTGCTGTACAAAATTATCAGAAGCATGGAAGCAGGAGAGACCACACTGACACCTTCCAGTACTGGAGACAGAAATTGGACCCTATTTTTCCTGGGCTAAAATCAAGGCATCTGCAGGGCTTCGTTTCCTCTGGAGACTCTGGAGAATCAGTTCCTTGACTTTTCCAGCCTCTATAGGCCACCTGCATTCATGGCTCTTGGCCTTCCTCCACCTTCAAAGCTGGTGAAGACTTCCACTGGACTGCTCTAATCCCCACTCCCCTCTTCCTCCTCCTTTCATGTGCACCCTTGTGATTACACTGAGCCCAGTGGGACAGTCCAGGCTGTCTCCCCATGAGCTCCATCTTCCCCTTCAGTCCCTTCCCCTATAACATACATAGTCACAGACTCCAGGGATTAGAATGTAGTCATCACTGGGGACAATTATTCTTCCCACCACAGCACCCATTTCCCTGTATTCAATCCCCCTTTACCACAAATACAGTCAGGGCCTGCGTGATGGGACCCTCAAGGACATGCCCACCAGAAGCTCTGGGATTCAGGAGGTGGGACAAGGAGAATCCAAGACAGGAGCCCTCTGACCTATGACCACGATCACCAGGGGGTTGCTGGGTGCTGACCACCCACTGGGGGAGTGTGTGTGTGAACCCCGACATCTGTATGTCCCTGTTGTGCGGGGGTCACAGGGCCCATGAAAAGGCTGTTCCAGAATATTCTGTTGTAGAGCTCAGGGACAGGCACCCCACCTTCCTTGTACAGACTGAAGTTGTTAAACCCAAGATAAGAGTGACACCGAAGAATGACATGTCCTAGAGGCACCACAAGGCTGGGCCAGGCAGACAGCAAGGGCTTGTCCTGACCACCTTGGGGAGAAGGAGGCGCCGCCTTAGAGAGGAGGATGTGGAACTGCCCCTCCCTCCCTGTGCTCAGAAGATTCTCCTCGCTTTCCACGTTTCTATGGCTACTATCACACCTTGGTGCCCAGGGCTGAAGGAAGGACCCATCCCGCAAAGACATGGTGTCTCCCTACAACAAAAGCCTCAGCTGAGAACTTTGAGCAAGTGCTGAGTAAAGAGACTCCTACTAGATTTTAATACTGTAAGATTACTCACATAAAACAACACAGGGTAGACATGAGGTGGAGGGCATGTCCTTTGTGAGTGGATATCAGCGGATGCCTGAACGAAAATAAACAACTGAGCCCCCATCAGAGGATTTGGAATGTCAGGGCCATGGCTGTGGTTTCCCACCTCTTCTGGTAGAATGACAGCAGCCACACTGCAGCCCCTACCATCATGGAAACGCTGAAGTGTGTGAGTAACACCTTTGTCCTCAGAGGATCTGCTGTTCCTACCACTTCCCCACCACACACCCCAGCTTTGAGCACCCCAGTCTAACCCTGGTCCCCACAGAACTTGACTCTGCCAAGGGGTTGAGAGGCCAGGGAGGCAAGGTCAGAAATGTGGGCCGAGCACCCCAGGGTCCTCTCTTCCCAGTTTATGAGAGACTCCCTGACAGGACTTCCCTCCTGTTTCAGGAAAATCCTCTTATGTGGGGAGATGACAACCGAAGGTTTGGAGAAGGACTCACCCTCATGTGGCCAGGCCCCCTGCAGCAAGAAGAACCCTGGAAAGAAAGATCATGATGGACCATCCATCTGCAGGCAAACCAGGACTCCCTTGCTGCCCCCACTGGGCTGTGAGTCTTGGCAGCCAGGCCCTTCCTGGGCTGAAGTTAAACTCACCCTCAGTGCCTACCTGCACCCAAGAACAGGGCTGTCGGCTGTGCAGAGACCCAGTTTCCAGGCCCAGATCCCCACCACAAGCCCATATCTCCACTCCAGGCTGATATTTCCACCCTAGGCCCATATCTCCAATCCAGTCCCATATCTCTGCCCCAGGCCCAGATCTCCACCCTAAGCCCATATCTCCACTCCAGGCCCATATCACCTCTCCAGTCCCATATCTCCACACCCAGGCCCATATCTCCTTCCTAGGCCCATATCTCCACTCCAGGCCCAGATATCCACCTCTAGGCCCATAACTCCACTCCTGGCCCATATCTCCACTCCAGGCCCATATCTCTACTGCAGGCCCGTATCTCCACCTCCAGATCCATATCTCCACTCCAGGCCCATATCTCCACTCCAGGCCCATATCTCTACTGCAGGCCCATATCTCCATCTCCAGGCCCATATCTCCATCTCCAGGCCCATGTCTCCACTACAAGCCCATATCTCTACTGCAGGCCCATATCTCAACCTCCAGGCCCATATCTCCACTCCAGGCCCAGATCTCCACTTCTAGGCCCATCACTCCATCTCTAGGCCCATAACTCCACTTCCAGGCCTATATCTCCAACTCTGGGCCCCGATCTCCATCCCCGCACTCCCTCCCTCGATTCCCTTCCAGGACTCACCAACACACGCCATGCTGACGACCATGAGCGACATGGTGCTGTCTGTGCAGACAGGCGGCCGCGCCCCAGCTCAGCTCAGCAGCGCACAGGATGTTATTTGGCGCCCTGCCCATGCAGTTTACATGTTGACCACATCATGGGAGGGTGACGTACGCAGGCTCTTTCTACCTTGCATGAGGCCCAGTGGGTGCTCGCTCAAGAGCGGAACATGGCTTCCTGGAAATTGTTCTCACTAGAATTGACACCTTGCGTCCTTCACTACGACCAGACTCAAAAGACGTCTCAGATCCAACCTCTCATACACGAGATGATTGAATTCTGTGCTTACATTAAAGATTTTTGATGTATTTTTGTTTTTATCTGAGATTCAAACTCTTCTTCATATGTAATGTGCAAAATGTCTAACAGGTATTATTAACATTATCAGAGTAATTGTGACAAGAAGCCATTCTAATTTTCCTGCTTGAGTTTCTAGTACTAAACCAGAGGCATCAGAATAGCTTGAACCTGGGAGGCGGAGGTTGCAGTGAGCTGAGCTCAAGCCACTGAACTCCAGCTTGGGTGACAGAGGAAGAGTCTGTCTCAAGAAAAAAAAAAAGCAAACTAAATAACCTATAATAACAAATCAGAGGACTCAGGTTACCAAATTTTAAGGGGTTCTATAAGTTTATATAAAATGCAGCATCCTCATGAGAGGGGATACAGAGAACCACTGGACAGAAAACTGTGTCTAAAATACATCTGTGGATACACAGTCCCTTTATAGTTGACAAAGGCTGCCATGTAGTTTAAGGTGGAATAGAATATTTTCTCAACAAATAACACAGGACCATAGGGTTACACGTAGGAAAAAATAAATCTAAACTTATCCTCACACTATAAAAACACTTCTTATTTTTTATCTTGTTGTTGTAAATTTTTTATGCTTTATTTTTAAGATTGACAAATAAAAATTATATACCATGGTCCTTCACTATACCTGGGTGATTGGTTCCAGGATCCCCATTCAGATACCAAAATCTGCAGATGCTCAAGCCCCTTGCATGAAATGGCATAGTGAAGCTGGGCACCGTGGCTCACGCCCGTAATCCCAGCACTTTGGGAGGCTGAGCTGGGTAGATCACAAGGTCAGGAGTTCAAGACCAGCTGGTCCAACATTCTGAAACCCCGTCTCTACTAAAAATACACACACAAAAAAATTTATCTGTGCAGGGTGGCACGTGCCTGTAATCCTAGGGGAGGCTACTGAGGAGGCTGAGGGAAGAGAATCGCTTGAACCTGGAAGGCGGAGGTTGCAGTGAGTTGAGATCACGCCACTGCACTCCAGCCTGGGTGAGAGAGTGAGACTGTCTCAAAAAAAAAAATAGCATAGCAATTGCATAGAACCCATGCACATCCTCCTGTATACATGAAATCATCTCTTGATTACTTATAATTCCTGACACAGCCTACACGCCACTCAATTTGTGTCGATTCAACATAGTTTTTTGCTTTTTGAAACTTCGGGGATTTTTTTTCTCAAAATATTTTTGATTTATTGCTGATTCAATAAACATGTGTAAACCCCAGAGATATGGAGGAGTGACTGTCTATTTATAGTAGTATGAAAGATGATGTGTTGATACGTGTCCCTGTGGAGATGAGACTAACAAGGCCTATGACTCTACAAATGTTTCATCGTGGAATGACTCTGCCAGCTTTCCAGATCTGCAGAGAGTAAGAATATCACTTGTTCATCTGATTCACCATCCTTGGAACCTCCTATGTGCTGCATCTTTGGATGGAAACTGGAGTCTCAGAGACAATTCAGGCTCCACCCTGCTTCCAGAAGCTCAGAGTCCAGGGGTGAGAACCCAGCGGAGAACAGATGGGGTTATGTGGACGTGGTAATGATAACACCGGAAGCCTTAGGCAAGAAAAGAGTCCCATTGACGAAACCATGAGGGCAGACATGTTTACTTGAAGAATAGAAAACTACATTGAAATTATAAAAAAAATTTATAAGTTTTACTGCTGACAGAAGGCTGAAAGATACTCTGAGGAAAGGTGGAATAGCACGTATCTAAGTGCCGTGTTAAGAGGGAGCCTCTTATATGTTTGGAATTGTGAGTTCCTCAGTGTGATCGCAGCCTCAAGTAGACTAGGAAGTAAGCCAGTTAGGTTGGAGAGGTGGGCAGGGGTCAAGTGAAATGGAGAATTGTGGGCTAAGCAAGTGTGTTTTCTCTCCAGCAGGCAGTGGGGACCTTAGACATTTGTAAGCAAGAGAGAGGCATGTTCAGATTCGTGGTGTGAGGAAGAGCGATGCCCTAAGATGCAGACTCACGCCTTCAGAGTCCAGCTGCTGGTACATGGGAGCTGGCAACCCGGTTTTGAGACAGGGCTATTGTCTCCCTAGAAGATCCCATCAAGGCCTGACTGTGGTGCTAGTGGACAGAAGACAACTTTGGATCTGCGCTCAGCATTTGGAAGTTCCGTGTTACACGCTGGTATCTGTTGGGGGTGTCTTGGGCCTCTGAGAAGGGCGAGTGATTTTTCTCTGTGTGAAAACGCAGTGATTCAACTGTGCGTATGTCACCTCCTGAGGGTCTTGTTCATCAGAGTCCTGGAGGGAGGGAAATGCTGAGTGAGGGAGGGTGCTCACATTTTCCAGGACTCTTTGGGAATAAGACTAGCCACGAGGCTGGGCGGAGGAGCACCTACCTCCCTGTTCACTGTTCTGTTCCCTGCAGGCTCTTGGTCCATTACAACAGCATCTGTAGAAGACGGAAGTCGTCAAAACAGCTCGGAGGGCACTTCTGGGTCCTCATTTCATAAGCAGATACCAACATACAGGGGGAGGCCATAGGTGCCTGAGGTCCCTCAGTTGCCAACAGCAGACTCAGACATTCTATCTCTCTGAGCTCAAGGATCCATCCCATGTATAGCTCTGAGTTCCCATCCTATTGATTCTGTGTCCCACTTTCTGCCTGTCATGGAACCTTCTCCTGGATGTGAGTGGCTGCAGGGGATGTGAGGATACGGTTCAGAATCAGGCAATGGTCTGTGAGCTGAAGGCAGAGGCAGGGAGTCTGGTGCTCTCTCTAGAAAGTCCTGCCTCTGTGGCTCCTGCCTTGGGCCAGGGACCATCCTGCCTGTGAGGAACACACACCTGAGTGCTCCCATCCTGCTTCCCCACATGGCCCTGAGCTCTCTGGCTTCTGCTTCGTGAGACTTACTCTTTTTGTTGGCACACCAGCGATGAAGGAGAAAGAAGAGGAGGATAGCAAAGGGGATGATGACCACTGAGGTCCCAATCAGAACGTGCAGGTGTCTGGAGTTACCTGGAGGAAGACAAGACACCAATAAGAAGCTAATCATAGCAGTTCCTCTATATGAATTGTCTCACATTTCTTGATTGACAGGTAACCACATACAACGTCTCTTTAGGACAAGCACCCAGATGGCGGGAGACCTAGCTTCCTCCTGCTTTCTCAGTTGTAGTAACCATAGAACGTGCTGAGGATACAACTGCTTTAGTTTAGATGTTTGACCCCTTCAAACCTCACATTGAAATGTAACCCCCAGGGTGGGAGGTTGGGCCTCTTGGGAGTTGTTTGGGTCATGGAGGTGGATCCATCATGAACAGATCAATGCTGTTCCAAGGAGACGGGGTTAGCAAGTTCCCCCTCTATTAGTTCCTGGAGAACTGGTTGTTAAAAGAGCTTGGAAGCTCCATCGCTCCCCCTCCCCCTTGGTCCCTCTCTTGCCGTGTGATCTCTGTGGTCTCTGCACAGACAGACCCTCCTTCCCTTCTGCCAGAGTGGGAGCAGCCTGAGGCCGTCACAAGAAATAGATGCTGGTGCCATGCTTCCAGTACAGCCTGCAGAACTGTGAGGCAAACACATTTCTTTTCTTTAGAAGTTACCCAGGCTCAAGTGTTCCTTTAGAGCAACAAAAATGGACTAAGACAGCAACGTCCTGAGATCAGGAGGAACATCCCAGAACAGCCTGGGCTGTCTTCCTGTTCTTCCTGGAGGAGGACGTCATGCAGTGCTTTAGCTGAGTGCTTCCTGTGGCTCCAGGGTACAAAACCCAGGCTGGGCTGCTTTTTGATTTCCCCCAGATACACTGCATATGGGGTGACTCCACATGTCTCGAGCAGCTTTTCTGAGCCTTGAGGGACTGGCTCACATTGAAATGTAGGTTTCTGTTGTCACTCGCTGCTTATCTGTTAGTAATGAACCTGCCTGTGTAATGTGTTCTCTGTGTGTTCTGTCTCCCTGGAGTGACGGTGAGTGATAGGAATTGGTATAGGCCCAGGTGCATTCCAGGAGGTGTTTAGAATCTTCTCTGGGAAGACTGGATTGGGATTGATACACAGCGAATGTGCTTTACAGTTTCTACCACCACAACCCTCTTGACTCAAAAAAAATTACATTCTCCAAGAAAAGAAAGAAAAAATGAAATCAAGATAAAAAAAGTGAAGTAGAACTGACTTAAATCAAACAGCCATGAAATAATGATGTAGCCCAGGAACAACATGCTACTTTTTGTGATCTGCTGAGACATATATTAGGCTGCTATTCCACCCGAGAAGCACGGGGAAGGACCGCCCTCTCCGTCGTTTATTGTTTCAATACAGCCTGTCCTTCTGTGAGTTAGTACGAAATGTGACCAGGGGCTAGTGCTGGCACTGGTCTCTGAGTCCAAGATCTGAGCTCACTCCAAAGAGTATTAGTGTTTACCTCCCCATGATCTATCTGTATCTCCATAGGTGATTGGAAGTAGAGATGAATTGGGGGATTTGGGTGAAGGGGCAAGTTTTATGCCATGAACAGAGCATGTTCTCTATTCCAGGACCTGTGCTGGTGGGTTCAGGAGGCTTTCACATTTTCCATATGATCCCAAGCTCACAGAAAGCCAAATAAGGAAGAGGTTTAACCTGATTGTTTAATGGATAAGATAAAGGGTCAAAGAATTAAACACAGAGAAATAGAAAAATGATGGTTGGTATCCAGTTGCCTTTGTAATTTCTGTGTGTCATAATTATGTATGTTTTATTTTTATTTTTTGAGACAGAGTCCCCCTGTGTCAGGCTGGAGTGCAGTGATGCGATCTCAGTTCAACCTCTGCCTCCAGGGTTGAAGCCATTCTTCTGCTTCAGCCTCCCCAGTCGCTGGGATTACAGGCAGGTGCCAATGCACCAGGCTAATTTTTGTATTTTTAGTACAGACGGGGTTTCACCATGTTGGCCAGGCTGGTCTCAAACTCCTACCCTTAAGTGATCTACCCGCCTTGGCCTCCCAAAGTGTTGGGTTACAGGTGTGAGCCCCCATCCACAGTCTTGTATATTATATTATACTAGGTCCCTTCATTTGCACCACCCCTCATGTGTCTATCGCTCCTCTGCCAGGTATTGATTTAGATGTAGAAAAAAAACACATCTCAGAAAGAAATTAATGAAACAAGGATTAAACTACTAGGAAAAATCAAACCCAGCAAGCCCTCCCTGCAAATGATTCTACCTCACAAGCATAGCTTATATCCATCTTTCATTCATTTAGTGTGTAAATCAACCCTACGTTTCACCAGTGGGGCGGGAATTGCCTTTTCCACGGTCTCCTAGATTCCAGTTACGCACCTGGGCCTCCCTTATTTTCATGTCGGTCACTGTTAATCAGGTAGGGATTCCTAGTTAGCTCTGAGTTGAATCCAAGGGCTGTGAGTATCAAAAACATGCTCCTTGTTCCTCCTTAGTTTCCTGTGTACCCAGTGTGCTCTCCATCTCTCTACAGTTGTCTTGTCATTCTCCCCATCTCATTCCCAGCATTTGAGGCAGAGCCTCTTCCTTGAACTAAGAATGTTTCCACCTTTGTGCCTTCACGGCTGAGAGCTCAGTGTGGAAAATCCTTCCGCCAATCTTCCAAGGGTTGAATCCATTTTTTCCATTAAGGTCACAAATATTATCTGATCAGTGAGACCTTCTCTGTCACCTGAAATTATATACTCAGCATTATCTATTACTTATTTTAAATCCTGGCTGGGCGCAGTAGCTCTCGCCTGTAATCTTTGCACTTAGGGACGCTAAGGCGGTGGGATCACTTGAGATTGGGAGTTTGAGACAGCCTGCACAACATGGTGAAACCTCATTTCTACTAAAAAATATACCAAAAAAATTAGCCGAGTGTGGTGGCGCACAGCTGTAATCCCAGCTACTCGGTAGGCTGAGGCAGGAGAATTGCATGAACCCAGGAGGCAGAGGTTGCAATGAGCTGAGATTGTGCTACTGCACTCCAGCCTGTGGAACAGAGAGAGACTCTACTCAAAAAAAAAAAAGAAAACAAAAAACACACACACACACAAAAAACCCCAGATTTGGTGCACAGATGCTTCCCAATGGATCATTCATTTATTGGTACCCTTGTGCATTCATTCTCTGCCCTCGCATTTACCCATCTGCAATATCAGCGTCCCAAGAGCAGAGGCCAAATGCATCCTGTTTACCATTTGTGGAAGGCAGGAGAATGCTGCCCCACCCCCAAAATGTCCCTGTCTTAGCCTCCATAGCTTGTGAATATGTTATTTTACAGGAAAGGAGGAATGAAGATTGCAGATGGCATTACGGTTGCTAATCAGCTGAACTTAAAAAGAGGGTACGCTGGATGATTTTAGGGAGATTGAGATGGATTATCTTGGTGACCCCAATAGAATCCCAAAGTCCTTAAAAGATGAGGAAGAAGGCAGAGCAGGATTCAGAGAAAAAGGTATGGGTAAAGAAGAAGAGTCTGAATGATGCCATGTGAGACGTGACCAGCCTTTGTGGGCTTTGAGGAAGGAGGAAGAAGGAAGGGGACCAGGGGCCCAGGAACGTGGGAGCCTCTAGGAGCTGGGAAACGTTAAGGAGCAGATTCTTGCTTGGAACCTTAAAAAGAAATCCAGCCTTACTGTCCCTTTGATATCAGCCCAGTGAAATGCAGTTCATACTTCTGAGTTACAGCACTGTGAGATAATTAAGAAAAACATGTTTTCATCCACGAAGCTTGTGGAAATTTGTTATGGCAACAATAGGAAAAGATTCCACACTGCACAGCCAGAGCATGGGGCATTGGCTGAACGAGTGAGTGAGTGGAAGTGTCGTGTGCATAAATAAGCTAAATTCTCTCTTACTGCACGTCTCTTGCTCTGCTGAGTCAACCAGGGTTGCATCTGGTACACTGCTGATACGAATGTAAATTAGTACAGCCATTACAGAGGAGAAGAGTATGGAAGTTCCTCAAAAAATAAAATGAGGTCGGGCACAGTGGTTCATGCCTGTAATCCCAGCACATTGGGAGGCCGAGGTGGGTAGGTCACTTGAGGTCAGGAGTTGAAGAGCAGCCTGGCCAATATAGCGAAACTCTGTCTCTACTAAAAATATAAAAATTAGCCGAGTGTGGTGGTGGGAGCCAGTAACCCAGCTACTTGGGAGGCTGAGGCTGGGGAATCTCTTGAATCCTGGAGGTGGAGGTTGCAGTGAGCCCAGATGGCACCACTGCACTCCAGCCTGGGCAACAAGAGTGAAACTGTCTAAAAAAAACAAAAACAAAAACAAAAACCATAAAACAAAATGTAAAAAGACACTTCCAGAGGATCTAGCAATTCCATGACTGGGTGTAAACCCAAAGGAAAGGACATCAGCGTATCGAAGTGACATCTGCACTCCCATGACTGTTCCAGCAGTGTTCACAGTAGCCAAGATGTGGATCAACCTACCCGCCCATCAGTGGGTGAATGGATGGAGAGAATGTGGTACACACACACAATAGGGACAACTCATCCATAGAAAGAGTAACATCCTGTCATTTACAGCCACATGAATGGAACTGGAGGTCATTACAAGTATTTCCATTTCTCACTCATATGCAGGAGCTAAAAGGTGGATCTCACAAAGGTAGAGAGTAGAATGGTGGCTACCAGAGGCCAGGAAGGGAAGGGTGGAGGGTAAAAAAAAAAGAATACTAATTAATTAATTAATTAATTTTGAGAGAGTGTCTCTCTCTGTTGCCCAGGCTGCAGTGCAGTGGCATGATCTCAGCTCACTGCAACCTCCGCCTCCTGCAATTAAGTGCAACTCCTGCCCAACCCTCCCAAGTAGCTGGGACTACAGGCATGTGCCACCATGCTCGGCTAATTATTATCATTATTATTATTATTTTGTATTTTTAGTACAGATGGATTTTCCCCATGTTGGCCAGGGTGGTCTTGAGCCCCTGATCTCAAATGATCCACCTGCCTTGGCCTCTCAAAGTGTTGGGATTACAACAGTGAGCCACCGTGCCCAGCCTATAAATGTATTTATGAACAGTAGACTTCACACTTAAAAATGGTAAAGGTGGTAAATTACATAGGTATATTTCACCTCAATAAATATTTCTTCAAACAAAAAGAAAAGGGTGTAGGCGTTGCTGGTGATGACATCTCTCTGTGGGTGACAGGCCAGGATGGGCTTCTGGGAAGTGGGTAAGGTTGAGGGGCTGAGAGAACCTCTGATCTCCCCAGGCAGAGCCCAGTCTCCCTCCTCTGGGTCTGTTCTGACCTCTTTCTCCATCTGCCTGGGTGCCTGGAACCCTGATCAAGGGCCTCCTTGCAGGCCATACAGGAGGGTTTGGAGGTGCCCTGTCTGCCATCCTGCCCCCTGACCCCGCCCTTACACCCATGCTGTGTGTTCTGTCTCGGCATCTGTCCATGCTTCTCTCCATCATCAGCAGGAAGCTCCTCAGCTATGGCTCTAGGATCACAAGACATGGGACAGGCATGGTGTTTTCTCACCTGTGACAGAAACGGGCAGTGGGTCACTCGGGTCTGACCACGCGTGGGGCAGGGCACGGAAAGAGCCGAAGCATCTGTAGTTCCCTCCGTGGGTCACAGGGCCCAGAGGGAAGTTGGCCTGGAATGTTCCATTGACCCTCAGCACCGCAGTGAGCCTAAGTTCACCGGCCTCTGCCTCCCTGGATAGATGGTAAATGTCAAACAAGCTCCGGGAGCTGCAGGACAAGGTCACATTCTCTCCTGCCTGAACCGTGGGGCCCGGCTGGGCTGAGAGAGAAGGTTTCCCATATAGACCTGGAAGGAGAAGAGGTGGTTTCCTCAGGGAGGTTCTTCGTTGTCACAGCTCTCCTCACACCTGAGCTGAGAACTCACTCCCCTGCTCTATGACTTAATGCTCTCTTTCTCTCTCTCACCCTCCACCCCCATCTCTCTTCATGTCTATTTCCTCCTTCCACCTTCTCTGTCTCTCTAGGTCTCTGACCTCACTTCTCCATCCCTAGCTATGTTTTCTTTTTTTGTACCATTTTATTCTCTCTGACCCTCCTTGGACTGGTTGACTTGATCTTCCTCTTTCTTTAATTCTGAGTCTCTCACTTTCTGTCTTGCTCATAACTTTCTGCATATTTCTATCTACTATCTATTGATCGATCTATCATTTATCTATGTATGTATCTATCATCTATCATCATCTGTGTATCTATGACCTATCTCTCTGTTATCTATCATCTATCAATCAATGTATGTATGTATGCATCTATCCATCTATCATCATGTGTTTATCTGTCTTTCTATCTCTCTATATCTATTTATATATCATCTGTCTGTCTTTCTACTTGTCTATCTATATCATCTATCAGTCATTCATCATCTATTTGTCTATCACCTGTCTCTCTATTATCTATCATCTACCTTTTATCTTTCATCTATCTATATCTATCTATCCATCTATCATCTGTCTCTCTCCATCTCCTTGTCTTTCTCTGCCTCTCAGTCTCTCTAGTTCCCTTTTGGAGTCTCTGCAATCCATCCCCACATCTTTATCTTTCCCTGTCTTTGTGCCCCTCCCTCAGGGCTCTGATTTTAGGGCTTTTCTCTGCTTCCTTCCATCATACGCTCCACTTCTCTGCCCTCTTTTTCTATCTCTTTATGTGTCTGTGAGTCTCTCAATTCCCTTCTTCTGGCTCATTCTGTGTGTGTGTTCATGTCTTTGCTTTTTGATTTCCCTGATTTCACTCCGTGTCTCTCTGTGGGCTTTTGTTCTCAGTAATCCTATAACATGTGGTGCTATTTGAATATGAGCCTCAGAATCCAGTATGGGGACTCCAGGAACTCACAACATACAGGGGTTGGTGTTCTGCTCCCTCACCTGGGGCCATGGTGTCCTGCGACGACGACAGCTCCACTGCACGGAAGGCAGAGGTTTAAGAATAAACACAGCATCTGTAGGTGCCACCAGCCTGGGGCCACACGGCCCAACTCAGGCCAGATAGATGTGTCTCTTTGGGTTCTCCTGGGAGAGAACACTTTGTAGAGGTAAAACAGAATGGAACCTTCTAACCTGTGCCTGGTCTCTGAACAAAGTCAGCATAGAAGGACACCTCTCTCTGGGATATATCTGTCTCTCTGTGTCTTCTTTACCTCTTTATCTCTTTTTCTAACACCTTGTATGGCCCCTGTGTCTGGCTTCTATGTTATGACATGAGGTCTGTACTTGTGTCTCCTGTTTCTCTGCCTTTGTTGGTACAGACCTCACCAAGTCACTTTCTCTCCATAGGAACCCCACACTCATCTTCCTCATGACCACCTGGGGCTTCCAGTCCTAGATCATTCACTCCATCTCCCAGCAAGGGTGAGAGGCAGGTCTGTATTCTCTCACCTACGACCACGATGTCCAGAGGGTCACTGGGAGCCGACAACTCATAGGGTAAGTGAGTGACAGAACCAAAGCATCTGTAGGTCCCTGCAAGGGCAGGTGTCATGGGACCCATGGAATAGTTGACCTGGGAACCCGCATCGTGGAGCTGTCCAACGAGGCGCAAGGGGTCCTCAGTGATCCCCTCTCTGTGCAGAAGGAAGCGCTCAAACCTGACATCTGACCAACATTGCAGGATGACCGTCTCTCCCGATTTCACCAGGGGACCTGGGTGGGCCAGGAGGGAAGGTTTTCTGTGGACTCCTAAGAAGAGAGGTTGTGAGTTCAGAAGGCGTCTCCCTTTCTCATCCCATTCATGGGACCTGAAATAAGTGAGGCTTCCCCTCCATGGTGTCTATCTCTCTCCTTCCTCTCTGTGTCTCCGTGTTCTTTTGTGCCCATAACCCCTGTTGCAGGTCCCTCCATCTGTCTCCCTCCCTCTTCCCTGTCTCTCTGTCTCTAGTAGCCCTGATTCCCTTCCCACTGTGCTCAGTGTCACCTCTTATGCTGTTGTATCTGTTTCCCACTAATCTCTTTCCTGGTGTTTATGTGGGGGTGGAAGAGGAACCACGACAGGCTGCATGTCCAGGCTCTTAGCAGCCTGAATCAATCTCTTTTGGACAGATTGGAAAGGCTGGCAGGAGGTACGAACTCATCAGTAAGGCAGGCATCAGTGTCCCTGTTCCTGATGGGGATTGGGAGCCTCTCCTGTCATGTCTGTGCCTTCTCCATGGCCCCAGCTTCCATAGGGTGGCCCCTGGTGCTGGTTCCAGGAGCATCAACCCCTCCCTATGTGGATCGAGCCTGGTGGTAGCATCAGTATCCCACCCATGCTAAAATCAGTGTAGCCAACCTTCTCCTTGTTTGGTTTCTTAACTTGTGCTTCACCTGGGTTCCTGTGTTGGTTTCCTGTTGCTGCTGGAGAAAATTGTCACAAACATGGGGCAGGAGAGAATACAATGACCCCTTCCACTTCTGGAGAACAGAAATCGGACCCAGTTCTCTCTGGGCTAAAATCAAGGCATCTACAGGGCTGTGTTTCCTCTGGAGACTCAGGGAAGAATCAGTTCCCTTGACTTCTCCAGCCCTTAGAGGCCAACTGCCTTTGTGGCTCATGGCCTTCCCCCATCTTCAAAGCCCGCTGTGGCTGATGGAGTCTCCCTCCCACGACGTTGCTCTAACCCCACTTTCCTCTTCCTCCTCCTCTCATGAGGACCCTTGTGATTACTCTGAGCACAGCAGGACAGTCCAGGCTGTCTCCCCATCGCAAGGTCAACTCATCAACAACCTGAGCTCCATCTTCCCCTTCAGTCCCCTGCCCTATGACATAAATAGTCACAGGGTTCATGGATTACCATGTAGCCATCACTGGGGACAATTATTCTTCCCACCACAGCAACTATTTCTCTGTACTGAATCCCCCTTTACCCCAAATACAGTCTGGGCCTGGATGATTGGACCCTGATGGACGCCCCCACCAGAAGCTCTGGGATTCAGGAGGTGGGACAGTGAGAAGCCCAGACAGAAAGCCTCTGACCTGTGACCATGATCACCACAGGGTTGCTGGGTGCCGACCACCCAGTGGGGGAGTGTGGGTGTGAACTGCAACATCTGTAGGTCCCTGCATGTGCTGGGGTCACAGGGCCCATGAGAAAGCTGTTCCGGAATATTCTGTTGTAGAGCTCAGGGACAGGCATCCCGTCTTCTTTGGACAGACTGAATTCGTTAAACCCAAGATGAGAGCGACACTGAAGAGTCACATGTTGTCCTTCAGACACCACAGTGCCGGGCCAGGCAGAGAGGAAGGGCTTGTCCTGACCACCTGGGGGAGAAGGAGGCACTACCTTAGAGAGGAGGATGTGGAGCCGCCCCTCCCTCCCTGTGCTCAGAAGATTCTCCCATTTCCACGTTTCTAAGGCTCCTACCACACCTGGGTGCCCAGGGCTACAGGAAGGACCCATCCCGCATAGACATGGCGTCTCCCTACAGCAAGTGTCAGCTGAGAACTTTGAGCAGGTGCTGAAGAAGCGACTCTTACTAGATTTTAACACTGCAAAATTACTTACATAAAAGAACACAAGGTAGACACAGGATGGAGGGCATGATCAGCTAATGCATGAACCATAATAAACAACTGAGCCCCTATTAGAAGATCTGGAATGTCAGGGTCATGACTGTGGTTCCCCCACCTCTTAGGTAGAATGACAGCAGCCACATTGCAGCCCCTACCGTCATGGAAACGCTGGAGGGTGTGAGTTATGCTCTTGTCCTCAGAGGCCTGTTGTTCCTTGCACTGCTTCTCTCCCTTCCTCTGCCGGTGACACCACTTCCTCCCTGCACACCACTCCTTTGAGCACTTCAGTCTCCCCCTGGGTCCCCACAGACTCAGCCAAGGGAAAGAAAGGCCGGGGAGGGCTAGGACAGAACTGTGGCGAAGCTTCCCCTGGCTTCCTTTTCCTAGTTCATGAGAGATTCCCACATGGCTTCCCATGGTCAGCCCATCAGTCAACCCCCTGTGTCGCCTGCCTCCCGTTTCAGGAACATCATCTTATGTGGGGAGATGACAACCTAAGGTTTGGGGGAAGGACTCACCCACATGTGGCCAGGGCCCCTCCAGCAAGAAGAACCCTGGAAAGAAAGATCATGATGGATGATCCATCTGTACATCACCTCCAGGCCCATATCTCCACTCCAGGCCCATATCTCCACCTCCGTCCTATATCTCTACTCCAGGCCCATATCTCCACTCCAGGCCTATATCTCCACCTCTGTCCTATATCTCTACTCCAGGCCCATATCTACACTCCAGGCCCATATCTCCACCTCCAGGCCTGTATCTCCACCTCCAGGCCCGTGTCTCCATTCCAGGCCCATATCTGCACTCCAAGCCAACATCTCCACTCCAGGCCCATATCTCTACTCCAGGCCCATATCTACAGTTCCAGGCCCATATCTCCACCTCCAGGCCCATATCTCCACTCTAGGCCCATATCTCCACCTCCAGGCCCGTATCTCAATTCCAGGTCCATATCTGCACTCCAAGCCAATATCTCCACTCCAGGCCCATATCTACAGTTCCAGGCCCATATCTCTACTCCAGGCCCATATCTCTACTTCAGGCCCATATCTACAGTTCCAGGCCCATATCTCCACTCCAGGCCCATATCTCCACCCCAGGCCCATATCTCCACTCCAGGCCTATATCTCCACTCCAGGCCCATATCTCCACTCCAGGCCCATATCTCCACTCCAGGCCCAGATCTCCACCCCACCGCTCCCTCCCTCGATTCCCTTCCAGGACTCACCAACACACGCCATGCTGACGACCATGAGCGACATGGTGCTGCCGGTGCAGACAGGCGGCTGCGCCCCAGCTCAGTTCAGCAGCACACAGGATGTTGTGAGGGGCTCATGCAGTTTACATGCTGACCACATCATGGGAGGATGACGTATGCAGGCTATTTCTACCTTGCATGAGGCCCAGTGGCTGTTTGGTCAAGAGCAGAACATGGCTTCCTGGAAATTGTTCCAACTAGAATTGACACCTTGCATCCTTCACTATAACCAACTCAAAACACGTCTCAGATCCAATCTCTCATACAGGAGATGACTGAATGCTTGGCTTACATTAAAGACTTTTGATGTATTTTTGTTGTTTTTATCTGAGATTCAAACTCTTCTTCATGTGCTATTTTCCCCAGGCTGTTCTTTGACTTCAGAGTTCAAGCAATCCTCCTGCCCCAGCATTTCTAGCAGCTGGCAGTATGTCACAATCTGCCACACCCAAGTCACAACTTTTAGAACTTTTTTTTTTTTTGAGACGCAATCTCACTTCGTCACCCAGTTTGGAATGCAGTGGTGAGACCTCGGCTCATTGCAGCCTCCACCTCCCAGGTTCACGCAATTCTCGTGCCTCAGCCTCCTAAGTAGCTGGATTTACAGGCACCCACCACCACGCCCACCTAATTTTTGTACTTTTAGTAGAGAGGAGGTTTCTCCATGTTGGCCAGGCTGGTCTTGAACTCCTAACCTCAAGTGATCTGTCTACTTCAGCCTCCCAAAGTGCTGAGATTACAGGTGTGAGCCACCATGCCTGGCCGGGACATTCTATATGTGTGCGTATGTGTGCATTTATATACATATGGTTATACACACACACACACACACACACACACACCCTAAGCACTCACATATATAGTTGTTTCAAATTTTAAAAAATATAAATTTTGTATTTTTCTTTCTTTTTCTCACATTTGTGTTTCTATGACACCATATACATATTGAATTTTATAGCTCTATTTTATTCTTTTGGATTGCAGTTTAATAGTCCATGCATAACTTTATCAACATGTAATTATCCATTCTTTTTATCATGGACATTTGTGTTGTTTCCGGATTTTCTCTTTTATAACTCGGGCCTTGATAATCGTGTTTCTGTGTGATCCCTTGCATACATATGCTGAATTAATTAGACATATTTACCTAGAAATGAAATTATTGGTTTTGGGTGCAAGTTGGTGTTGAGCTTAACCAGGAAGTGCCAAAATATTTCCATCATGACCAAATGTGGCCTGGAAAGTTTTTTGGGGTCAATTTTCCTGTTTCTTCTAAGGAACAAAATTGATGTCACTGATTTTTCTGTCCTGTTTGTCATTTATGAATGTATGTACATATGCACGTATATATTTGCTTGCCATTTTATGTTTTTCCTCGACGTTACTTTGGAATTAATTTGCTGATGTGTAGTATTTCTGCAAGTGAAAGTTACCTATTTACTCAGCTCTTCCTTCTTTTCTAACACAGACATTTGAGGCTTATTGTCCCTTAACGCTGTTCTATCTGTATCCCCAGTCATTTGCCGAGATGTGTTTTCATTTTTAATTGATACAAAATATTTTCCACCTTTCTTTGAAATGTTTTTCTTCCACTCATTGTTTATTGCTATGTGTGTTTATTAATTTTAAAATATTTGATAATTTCCCCAGCATTTCCTTGTTGTACATTTATAATTTAATTCAACTGTTTCATCTATCATATTACCTATGATTCAGCATTTAAAAATTTATTTTGGTGAATGTTCCAGGGGTGCTAGACAAGTTTGTGGATTAGGAAGATTTGAGGTGGATGCTTTCTAAATGTCAGTTAAGAAAAAAATCATTCAAATGTTTTTCTTTATTTAAAAAAAATAGAGACGGGGTCTCACTATGGTGCCCAGGCTGGTCTCAAACTCCTGGCCTCAAGTGATCCTCCCATTTTGGCCTCCCAAAGTGCTAGGATTATTGAAATTATTAAATGTTTCATATCAACACCCAACCTTATGCACCCGCCGCCTACACAAATGTTTTTCAAGTCTTTCATATGCTTAATAATTTTCTGTGTACTTGTTCTGGAAGTGAGGTGAATGTTGCTATCTCTAGCTGCAATTTGGATGTGATTGATTATGTTTTGAATTATGCCTTTAATTTAATGTGTTTTGAGGTTCCAGCTTTAGGTGTGTAGGCATTTAGGATGATTATGTCTTATTTATGAATTTGCCTCTTTGTCATTATGAAGTACTCCTCTTCATATCTCCATATATCTCTTCTTTGTATGTGCATGGTGAAATATTTCATTCTTTGAGTTAAGAAACTTCTATTGAGGAATACTTTTTATTACAAACATTTACCTATTCTATGTATACAACTGACTAGAAGCATATTTTGCACTGGGCATTATCATGACAAGGTAATGTCATTCTTTCAATATTTACATCTTGTGGATTAGTATTTGAAGTGCAGCTTATGTAGACAGCATAAGGTTGGGTGTTGATATGAAACATTTAATAATTGCACACGTATTTGCCTCTTGGGATACTTCCACTTTTTTGAATTTCAAGTTACTAAATGGTATCATTAATCTTTGCTTCAAGAGCTTAACATTTATTGTAGAACAATGCTTCATGTAATAAATTGTGAGACATTTTTAATGGCACCTTTATTGCAGGAAAATGTTTTCCTTTTCAGGTTGAAAGATTCTAGTTTGAAATATTTTCTTGTAGCACTTTAAAAATGTTGGTCCACCTGTTTCTTACTTTCATAGTTTTGAATACAAAGTTTGCTGTCATTCTTGTATTTCTTCTTCTGTTTTTTATTTATTTATTTTTGACAGAATATCTTGCCGTCTCACCCAGGCTGGAGTGCAGTGGCATGATCTTGGCTCACTGCAACCTCTGCCTTCCAGGTTTCAGCAATTCCTGCCTCAGCCTCCTGAGTAGCTGGGACTACAGGCATGCGCCACCATACCCAGCCAATTTTTTTTTTTGTATTTTTTTTTTGTAGAGATGAAGTTTTGCCATATTGGCCAGAACTCCTGACCTCAAATGATCCACCTGCTTTGGCCTCCCAAAGTGCTGGGATTACAGGTGTGAGCCACTGTGCTCAGGCTATTTATTCCTTTTTATATAATATGAATTCACATTCATACATACCAGGGGTTAGGATTTCAACAAACGTTTCTGGGGGAGACCACTCAAAACACAGCACTCATCCTTGGTTATTTCCAGCCATGGAGCCTGTATCAATATCCTGGTGAATTATCTAAGCTGTCCACCTACCTACCCCAAATCCTCATGGTCACATAAAAGGCTAGTATAGTTTAATAATTTTTCTTTCCCTGCTTATCTACAGTGATGAAGAAACGAATATTCAAAGGGAAAAATCTTAGCTTTAGGTATAGGGTAATTCTTCTTCCTATTTTTAAATAACTTCAACCTTTACTGTAGATTAAAGGTATGCATGCAGGTTTGTTACATAGGCATATTGTGTGACTCTGAGGTTTGTGGTTCCAACAATGCCATCACCCAGGCAATGAGCATAGAATCCAACAGGTGTTTCTTCAGCCTATACCTCCCTACTCCTCCCCCCATCTGTAGTCCTCGGTATCTGTTGTTTCCATCTTTATGTTCATGTGTATTCAATGTTTGGTTCTCAGTTATAAGTGATAACATGTGGTATTTGGTTTTCTGTTCCTGGGTTAGTTCACTTAGGAGATTGACCTCCTGCTACATTCATGTTGCTGCAAAGGACATGATTTCATTATTTTTTATGGCCATGTAATGTTCCATGTGTATATGTAGCACATTTTCTTTAACTAATCCACTGTTGGTGAGCACTTAGGTTGACTGCAAATCTTTGCTATTCTGAATTGCACAGCAATGAATATACTAGTGCATGTGTCTTTTTGACATAGTTAATTACCTTCCTTTTGGTATATACCCAGTAGTGGGATTGCTTGATTGAATAGTAGTTCTATTTTAAGTTATTTGAGAAGTCTCCAAACTGCTTATCACATTGGCTGAACTAGTTAACATTCCCACCAAGAGTGTATAAGTGTTCCCTTTTCTCCACAATCTTGTCAGCATCTGTTATTAAAAAAAACAAAAAACTTTTTAGTAATTGCTTCTGCTTCTCTGATTGTTGTGAGATGGTATCTCACTGTGGTTTTAATTTGCATTTCTCTGATGATTACTGATAATAAGCATTTGTTCATATGTTTTTTGGCCATGTGTACATCTTCTTTTGAGAAGTGTCTGTTCATGTCATACTTAATTGAGGTTTTTTGGTTTTCTGCTTGTTGATTTGTTTACATTCCTTATAGATTCTGGATATTAGAACTTTGTCAGATGCATAGTTTGCAAATATTTTCTCCCAGTCTGTAGGTTATCTGTTTACTCTGTTGATACTTTCGTTTGCTGTGCAGAAGCTCTTCAGTTGAGTTAGGTCCCAATTTCTGTCTTTGTCACAATTGGTTTTGGGGAGTTAGCCATAAATTCTTTGCCAAAGTCTATCTTGAGAAGGATATTTCCTAGGTTTTCTTCTAGAATTTTAATATTTTGAGGTTTTACATTTAAATCTTTAAACTATCTTGGGTTAATTTTTGTATATAGTGAGAGTTAGGGGTCCAGTTCTATTATTTTGCATATGAGTAGTCAGTTATCCCAGAACTATTTATTGAAGAAAGGGTACTTTCCACATTGCTTGTTTTTGTCAATTTTTTCAAAGATGATTGTAGGTATGTAGCCTCATTTCTGGGTTCTCTATTCTGTCTCATTGGTCTATGTGTCTGTTTTTGTAGTAGTATCATGCTGTTTGGGTTACTATAGCATTGTAGTATAGTTTGAAGTTGGGTAATGTGATGCCTGGGCTTTGTTCTTTGTGCTTAGGATTCCTATGTGTATTCAGGCTCTTTTTTTGGTGCCAAATACATTTTAGAATAAATTTTTATAATTTCGTGAAAAATGACATTGCATTTTGAAATGGATAGCATTGACTCTGCAATTTGTTTTTGGAAGTATGGCGATTTTAACTATTTGTTCTCCTAATTCATGAGCATGGAATATTCTTCCATTTGTTTGTATCATTTCTTATTTCTTTCAGAAGTGTTTTGTAGTTCTCCTTGTAGAGAATTTTCACCTTCTTGGTTAGATGGATTCCTAGGTATTTTATTTTCTTTGTGGCTAGTGTAAATGGAATTGTGTTCTTGATTTAGTTCTCAGCTAGAATGTTAGTGGTGCATAGAAATGTTACTAATTTGTGTACATTTTTTTAATCCCGAAACTTTATTGAATTTGTTTATCAGTTTCAGGAGCCTTCTGACAGAGTCTTTAGGGTTTTCTATGTATAAAATTATTTCATCAGCAAAGAGAGACAGTATCACTACTTCTTTTCCAATTTTAATGCCTTTTATTTCCTTCTCTTGCCTGATTGCTTTGGCTAGGACTTCCAGTACCATGTTGAATTAAAATGGCGGGAGTGGTCATCCTGGTCTTGTTTCGGTTCTCAAGGGGTATGGTTCCAGCTTTTGCCCATCAATATGATGTTGGCTGTGGGTTTGTCATAGATGGCTCTTAATATTTTGAGGTATGTTCCTTTGATGCCTATTGACAGTTTTTATCATGAAGGGATGTTGGATTTTACAGAAAGCTTTTTTTGCATCTATTGAGATGATCATATAGTTTTTGTTTTTAATTATGTTTATGAGGTGAATCACATTCGTTGACTTTGTAGGTTGAACCAACCTTGCATCCCAAAAATAAAGCTTACTTGATCATGTGAATTAACTTTTGATGCACTGACAGATTCAATTTGCTAGCATTTTGTTGAGGATTTTATGTCTATGTTCATTAAGGATATTTAGTTGTAGTTTTCTTTTTTTCATTATGTCTCTGACAGATGTTGGTATCATGGTGATGATGGCTTCATAGAATGAGTTAGGAAGAAGCCCCCACTCCTTGATTTTTTCCAAAAGTTTCAGTAAGATCGGTATCAGTTCTTCTTTGTATGGCTGTTGGATTTTGGCTGTGAATCCGTCTGGTCCTGGGCTATTTTTAGTTAGTAGGGTTTTTATTACTGATTAAATTTCTGAACTTGTTATTGGTCTGTTCAGGTTTTCACTTTCTTCCTGGTTGAAATATGATAAATTTTGTGTTACCAGGAATTTATCCATTTCTTCTAGGTTTTCTAGCTTGTTTGTATAGAGGTGTTCATAATAGTCTTTGACGATCTTTTCTATTTCTGTGGGATTGTTCGTAACATTGTTTTGTCAGTTCTATTTGTGTTTATTTGGATCTTTTCTCTTTTTCTTTGTTAATCTAGCTAACAGTCTATGAATTTTGTTTATTTTTTTTCAAAGAAAAACTCTTGGTTTTATTTATCTCTTGTATGGACTTTTTGGTCTCAATTTATTCAGTTCTCTCTGACTTTAGTTATTTCTCATCTTTTGCTGGCCTTGGGTTTGGACTGTTCCTTTTTTTTAATAGTTCCTCTAGATGCAGTGTTAAGTCACTAATTTGAGATCTTTCTAAACTTCTGATGAGGCATGTATTGCTATAAATTTTCCTCTTATCACTGCTTTAACTGCATCCCAAAGGTTTTGGTAAGTTTGTTTCTATTTTTATTAATTTTAAATAATGTTTTGTGATTTCTGCTTTAATTTCATTGTTCACCCAAGAGTTCTCAAGGGGTACAGTTCCAGCTTTTGACCATTCAATATGATGTTGGCTGTGGATTTGTCATAGATGGCTCTTAATATTCATTCAGAAACAAGTTGTTAAATTTCCATGTTTTTCTGTAGTTTTGAGAGATCATCTTGGTATTTTTTTCTATTTTTATTGTGTGCCTTGTTATGATTTTGATTCTTTGAATTTATTGAGACTTGCTTTGTGGCCAGTCTTAGAATATGATATGTTTTTTGTGTGTGCAGATAAGAAGAATCTATATTCTGCAGTTGTTGGGTGGAGTACTCTGTAGATGTCTATGAGGTCCAATTGGTCAAGTGTTGTCTTTAAGACCAGAATTTCTTTGTTAGTTTTCTGTTTTAGTGATTCATCTGACGTTGTTAGTGGGATACTGAAGTCCCTTACTATTATTGTGTGGCTGTCTAACTCTTTTCATAGGTGAAGAATAACTTGTTTTATGAATCGGGGTGCTCCAAATTTGGGTGCATATATATTTAGAATAGTTAAGTCTTCTGTCAAATTGAACCCTTTATCATTTTGTAATGCCCTTCTTTGTCCTTCCTGATTGCTGTTGATTTAAAGTGTGTTTCATGTGATATAAGAATAGGAATGCCTTCCTTTTTTTTGTTTCCTGGTTGCCTAGTAAATATTTCTTCATCCTTTTACTTTGAGCCTGTGGGTGTCATTACATGTGAGATGGGTCTCTTGAAGACAGCAGGCAGTTGGCTCTTGGCTTTTTATCCACGTTGCCACTCTATGCCTTTTATGTGGGGAATTTAGGCCATTTACATTTCTTCTCCTGATATATCCTTTTTATATTTTTATGATTGCCTTTTAAAATATATTGAATGGTTGTAATTCCAGGGAAATGTCTTTCAGAACAGTATTTATTCCCATCTACATGTTTTGGAGAGTGCACTAGGGGACATTGAAGTTTATTTCCTGAAAAGAGTTTAATTTTAAAATGTATTTTATTTAATAACTCAATGATTCAGGGAATGTCTAGGTATTTCAGAGATTGTTTTAGACAGTTTGTTTTCTTGTGATATGTGACCACTTCATCTAAGCTGAATAATGTCTTCATAATGTCCACTTAGAATCTTTTGAATTCTGTAGGATCTGTACTGATGTCATTGTTTCCTTTCTGATATTGGTAATTTTCCTGGGGTAGGATTCTTAGCTCCTCCTGAGGTCCTGCCTCTAAAATTCAGGGAACAATGAGTCAGATTAGTACTCTGATTTCAAAGGGAAAGCTGATCATCTACCATTTTTTGTTTATGTAAATGGACACATTAACATCCCTTGTCTGAACCTTAGTTACCTTGTTTGGAGCATTTTGCTATAAATCTCACTTCTCAGAGTGGTTGTGGGGCTTGATGTGGCTGGGGTATGGGATGGCTTAAACATAATTTATTTCCAGACCAGGTTAAGGCATGAAGGGGTTGGGACTTGTTAGAATCCTGTTGTCGGACTCCACAGTAAGGGTAGACATTTGAGGCACCCAATCAAAAACCTCAGTTGTTCCTAGCACTGAGAAATTTGATAGAATGTTTCTAAAACATTATTCATGGTCTAATGCACAAAAAGTAAAGTGATAGCCCTGGAAGTAGACAGGGAACCATAAGAAAAAAGAGAGAGCAAAGCTCAGTGGTCACCAGTGCCTGGGACCATCAAGGGGTTATTAAGGAGGAAGTTTCCACCTCTGTGGGGAACAGAAGAGGCTCCCTAGGGTCCACACACACAGGGAGTGAGCCAAGACTCTGGGCGAGGCTGGAAGCTCTGGGTCTCCTTCTGTGAGATTTTCTTTTTTTTTTTTGAGATGGAGTCTTGCTCTGCCACCCAGGCTAGAGTGCAACGGCGCGATCTCGGCTCATGGCAACCTCTGCATAAAGTGGTATGTATTTAAGGCATGCATTAGACAAATTACTAAGTATTTACTAGATAAGAAAAAATTATATCTGAATCTTTTCAAATTGCCGTCTTATGCATTATATTCTCTTTTTATAGTGCAATTTCTTAATAGTTAATGCCAGAAGATTTTTTTTTCTTCCTTTCTTTCTTTCTTTTTTTTTTTTTTTTGAGACAGAGTCTCACTCTGTTGCCAGGCTGGAGTGCAGTGGCACGATCTCGGCTCACTGCAACCTCCGTCTCTCGGGTTCATGCCATTCTCCCGCCTCAGCCTCCTGAGAAGCTGGGACTACAGGCACCCTCTACCATGCCCAGCTATTTTTTTTTTTTTTTTTGTATTTTTAGTAGAGACGGGGTTTCACCATGTTCGCCAGGATGATCTCTGTCTCTTGAACTCGTGATCCACCTGCCTTGGCTTCCCAAAGTGCTGGGATTACAGGCATGAGCCACTGCACCTGGTCGCCAAAAGATATTTTTAAAAACCTAAATGCCACTTGAAATGAATAAGACCCTCAATAATTCATGGGATATACATGTGAACTTATGACATATGATGAAATAAGCAGGTTACAAAATTGTAATATATCAAGCAAGGTAGAAAGCCATGGCAGAAAAAGAGACAAGCATTTTCAAGATAAGGAATGAAAGAGGGGAAACAGTACTATTGATTTTACAGATTTTACAAAGATATCTTAGGTGTGTTTTCCTAAATAATAAATGTACCCTCCTTTTGACCTTTATGTAATGAAATAACCATGCACACATTTTCAAATAATACTTCATTTACTTGACTTTATGCTTGAAAATTGAAGTATGGTGCTGTTTGTTATTTTCATTTATGCATTTTACTACCTTGTAATATTCCACTGAGTCTATTTACCACACTATGTTTATTTTTTTCGTAGGTGGACTTTGGTATTTTATAGCTTTGGCTAATAGGAACAGCATTCCTATAACAGTTGTGAGTGTATCATGACACATAAGTAGACATTTATCTCTAGGGTACATAATTAAGTACATAATTAAGAAGGGTCACAGCCATGTGCCTCCTCTTTTTAACTAGATAATTCCAATACACTTCCTTAATTGATTAAAGCAATTTGTACTCTTACTATTAATGTACTAAAATTCTACATGTTCAATATTCTTTCCAAAAAATGATTTTGCTACTTTTTTCTTTTCTTGAGACTGAGTCTTGCTCTATCACCCAGGCTGTAGTGATCTCGGCTCACTGCAACCTCCGCCTCCTGGGTTCATGCGATTCTCGTGCCTTGGCCTCCCAAGTAGCTGGGATTACAGGCAGGCGCCACCATGTCTGGCTAATTTTTGTATTTTTAGTAGAGACAGCGTTTCACCATGTTGGCCAGGCTGGTCTCGAACTCCTGACCTCAGGTGATCCTCCTGCCTCGGCCTCCCAAAGTGTTGGGATTACAGGCATGAGCCACCACACCCGGCCTATTTTTTTCTTTTCCCTCCATTGTGCTATGATTTTTGACATTACAATTTTACTGAAACTACACCATAAGAATGAAGCAGAAATTATTATAACCTTTAAATAAACTTTACAACTGGTTCATACTCGTGTGAACGACAATTCTTTTGACTACTTCCCAACTGTGCATTCAATGGCGTCATATGGGCACCCTGAAGTTGGCCATAAAGGACGTATTTATACCACACTAATCAGCAAATACCATAAATCTGGGGCTTTATATGTTCAGAGTTTTCTTAAGAAAATAATTTTTTCAGAGAGCCAGTTTAACAGAATACCATGAGGCTGAGCCTTCGAGCGTTAGTGTGCTCATTCTGAGAGATGATATTTCTGGACAAAGTACACAGGTATCATCCGATGAAGAGTGAAGGGAATTCAGGGTCCAGAGAGGGTGCTAGGGCATCATTTCAGACTCATATTTCCCTTTTTTTTTTTTTTTTTGGAGATGGAGTCTTGCTCTGTTGCCCAGGCTGGAGTGCAGTGGCAAGATCTTGGCTCACTGCAACCTCCGCCTCCCGGGTTCAAGCTATTCTCCCGCCTCAGCTTCCTGAGCAGCTGGGATTACAGGTGCTCACTGCCACACCCAGCTAATTTTTGTATCTTTTAGTAGAGACAGGGTTTCACCATGTTGGCCAGGTTGGTCTCGAACTTCTGACCTCAAGTGATCCGCCCACCTCAGCCTCCCAAAGTGCTGGGATTACAGGTGTGAGCCACTGTGCCTGGCCTCAGACTCATGTTTCAAAGTCCCAAATACAAATCTGCCCACCTATTCCAGTTATTTAATCCAGATCTATGCTCAGAACTGAAAAGATGGAGAATCAATAGTTCACTTTAGAGAATGCGGTAGTTGGAAACAAAGACAAATGTATTACATGACAGTGGACCAGAGCACGTGATCGCAGGGGTGTGGATGCAAACCCACCATGGGGGACGTGCCTTCACATCACAGAGAGCGAAAGGAAGGGAGGGGCAGACACGGAGGATCCACAACAGCAGGACTGAAAGCACTGCCATTTAATGGAAGTTTAATGGAGGAAGCGTTCTCTACAGGCACCCAGACATCTTCCTGAACCTGACCCAAGCCTCCCCTTCTCGACTTTCTCAGTAGACGGTTTCCCGAATGATGGTCCAGACTTTCTTCCAGAACCTCCTAGGACTATCAGATTCATTGCCAAGGCTCTGGCACTCTGAAGGGTGCATTGTTCTCTCATGTATTTACCTCCTTGCTGCATCTTGGGGACTTCTCTAGCTGTGCCAGTCCTAAAGCAGCAGAATCCCGAGGACCACCAGGACCAAGCCAGCCACAGCCACGCGGATGAGATTCTCCACTGTGTAATCCTGGGGGTGTGAGGCTGGGGATGGTGGACCAAGAGGTCTCAGAGGTCAGGGCAGATCAACATCACCCGGGACCCCTGGATGTCCACCCAGGGCACCCACCTCCCCTTCACAGGACCTGACCCTCTGTGCCAGCCCCATAACCGAGAGCATCTCCTTACACACCAGTCTTGGAGTCTGTCTTGTTTTGCGATGGGCTGAGGGTCTCAGCTGCTCCTGAGAATCAACCAAAAAAGGGGGAGGTGTGTGAGGAGTTGAAGAGACTTAAGCCAACATGTCCCTCAGTTGCTGCATTCCTTTGTGTCTACACTTCTCCTAACTGCTCTGTAGTTGTGTGATAGAACCTTTCCCTGCCGTGGCAGAGGTACATTCGCATACATACATACATATATGCATAGGTGTAAATATGTGTGTATACATAATATGTGTTATGCATATGTGTATACATAATATGTATTATGCATATGTGTATAGATAATATGTATTATGCATATGTGTATGCATAATATGTATTATAAGATATAGTGTGAGTATATATAAATATATAATATATAAGATATATAATAGTGTGTGTATACATATAAATATATAATAAGATATGTAATAGTGTGTGCATATATAAATATATAATATATAATAAGATATATAATAGTGTGTATATATAAATATATAATACATAATATATTATAAGATATATAATAGTATGTATATATAAATATATAATACATAATATATAAGATATATAATAGTGTGTGTATATATAAATATATAATACATTATATATTATAAGATATATAATAGTATATATAAATATATAGTACATAATATATAATAAGATATATAATAGTGTGTGTATACATATAAATATATAATAAGATATGTAATAGTGTGTGCATATATAAATATATAATATATAATAAGATATATAATAGTGTATATATATAAATATATAATACATAATATATTATAAGATATATAATAGTATGTATATATAAATATATAATACATAATATATAAGATATATAATAGTGTGTGTATATATAAATATATAATACATTATATATTATAAGATATATAATAGTATATATAAATATATAGTACATAATATATAATAAGATATATAATAGTGTGTGTATACATATAAATATATAATAAGATATGTAATAGTGTGTGCATATATAAATATATAATATATAATAAGATATATAATAGTGTATATATATAAATATATAATACATAATATATTATAAGATATATAATAGTATGTATATATAAATATATAATACATAATATATAAGATATATAATAGTGTGTGTATATATAAATATATAATACATTATATATTATAAGATATATAATAGTATATATAAATATATAATACATAATATATAATAAGATATATAATAGTGTGTGTATATATAAATATATAATACATAATATATATTATAAGATATAATAATGTGTGGGTAATATAAATATATAATACATAATATATAAGATATATAATAGTGCATATATAAATATATAATACATAATATATATTATAAGATATAATAATGTGTGGGTATATATAAATATATAATACATAATATATATTATAAGATATAATAATGTGTGGGTATATATAAATATATAATACATAATATATAAGATATATAATAGTGTATATATAAATATATAATACATAATATATATTATAAGATATATAATAGTGTGTGAGTATATATAAACACATACATATATATTTGAAGTGAGAAGAGTATTATATAATTTAGAAACAAACAAGTTTGTCCTCCATTTTCTTGTGGTTAATGTAATTATTATCAATAAATCAGAAGAGATCATTTCGGAAAGGATTGAAAGGGAGTGTGTCTGTGGTAAGTTAATAGGAACTAAAATTAGCATACCCAAACCAATAGCTTTCTCATCCATACGTAACTAATTTTAGAAAATAGAAAGGAATCAAAGACTTTCAAATTATTCAAGTAGTAAAACAATGCTTAAAATTCACAATGTCCACAATTTTTATGAATACAACTTCAAGCATCTGCTAACTGTATAAAGTTTAATTTTAAATGTATTGGATACAAAGACATTATTAATGAGAAGTTATTCTCCATCATGAATGCACATATTTAATTTAATCCCAAAGAAAATCAGAGCACAGTTATTTTACATCATAACGCTACCTAACAAATTAAATGTGTAAATTATAAATGCCAGCATTGCTTTGAAATCTTCAGAAACAGAAAGAGAAACTAGATATGTGGACATAAAAAATAAAGGACAGAAAGGAATTGCACACGAGGTTTGCTGTTGAATAATTTGCCTGCATTGCTGCAGTGAGCAGGTGCATGATCTCCCCTTCGTCTCAGGTATGCACTGAGTATTTTGGGGCCGCCAGGGGAGCCCAGGTGGGGAGTGGGTGGGGCCTCCATCTTCTACCCTCAGCCTAAGCATGATTCCTCCAAGGTTTCTCCATATCTCATTTCAGCCCTCCCTGGCCTTTAGCCCCATCTGAGGTCTCTGGGGTGGGAGCCCAGGATTAGGAGGTCCCTGACTATTTCCACCCTCTCATGGGCTGGGCCCTCCCCTGCCGACCCTCCCCCTTTACTCCCCTCTTTCCTTAGCGTCCTGAGCTCTCCTGGGGGCAGGGCCTGAGCTGAGGTTTGAGCTCAGAGAGGACAGGGTCAGCGGCCTCACCTGAGACCACGAGCTCCAGGGGGTCACTGGGGTGAGACAGCAGGTAGGGGAAGAATCTGCGTGAGCTGTAGCACCTGTAGGTCCCCGCGTGGGCTGAGGTCACAGGACTCATGGGGAATTCAGCCTGGTGCTGCTGAGCTTGGTGCTCTGATCTCAGACGCAGTGGGTGATGGGCTGCCCCCTCCTTGGTCAGAAGGAAAGTGTCCAACTGCTCCCGTGACTGACACAGCAGGGTCACGTTCTCTCCTGAGGCCACCGTGGGGCCCGGCTGCACCGAGAGGGAGGGTCTGCCACGGATCTGTCCTGGAGAGAAGAAGGATGGGTGAGGGGCTGCCCCACCTCGTTCTGAGCTGACACCTCCCCAGGCCTCTCCCTGGGACCCTCAGTGTCTCTGTCTCTGTTTTCTCTGAGTCTCCCCCTCCCCGCCCATCCCCTGTCTCTGTCTGTCTCTCCGTCCCTTAGGACCCCCACCCCTCATCCCGGCCATCACCACCTGGGCTCCCCCAGCAGGGCCTGTGCGGAGCCTGGGTCCCTGACTGAACCTGCTGGGCTCCTCACCTGCGATCAGGATGCTCAGGGGGTCACTGGGGGCCGACCACTCGGAGGAGAGGTTGTGTGCACCGTAGCATCTGTACTGGCCCCCGTGGGAGACCCTCACAGGGCCCAGGGTGAAGTTGGCCTGGGAGAGCCCAGCCTGGGGCTGCCGGCCAGAGCCCTGGACGAGGTCATGTCCCCCCTCCTTGTACAGAGTGAATTTGTCATAGCCGACATCAGAGCCACACTGGAGGGTCAGATTCTCCCCAGGGGCCACGACAGGGCCCTGCAGGGTCAGGAGGGAGGGCTTCCTAGACACGCCTGGAGGGAAAGAAGAGTCGGGACTAGGAGGGCTGGTTCCTCCCACACCCCTTCCTTCTCCCCTCCTGGCCCTGCAGGTCTCACTGTCTCTCACACTCAGTGTCTCTGGGCTCAGGAGTCCCAAACTTCCCTTGTTCCACCCTCCTACATGGGGCTCCGTGAGAGTAAGTTCTCAAAAATAAATAGGGCAAGGAGGAAGACATCCATACCTAAGACCAGGATCTCCATGGTATCACTGGGTTCCGACCACACCCAGGGGAAGTTCGTGTAATGCCCATAGCATCTGAACATCCACCGGTGACTGGCAGCCACACGGCCCACAGGGAACAGGGCCAGGGACAAGGGACAGCCCCTTGGAGAGTTCCTGTGAGTCCAGCATCCAGGAGAGCTTGTTTTCTCCTTCCTCAATCAAAATGAACCTGTGAAATCCCACCCTTGAGCTACACTGGATGGTCACGTTCTCTCCTGAGGTCACCACAGGGCTCGGCAGGGCTGAGAGAGTGGGTTTTCTGTGGGCTCCTAGGAGAGAAGGAGACACTGTCTTAAATGGGGCTCACGCGTCCCACATCATCCCCCAGGGCTGAGTTATTAGAACGGAGATGCCCTTGAGAGCTGACCCCCTTCCTGCAGGCAGAGCCTGGGGCTGGGACCCCTGAGTGTCCTCTTACCTGTCACCACCAGCTCCAGGGGCTCGCTGCGCTCTGACCAGCCTGCAGGGCTGAGATAGTGACAGTGGTATCTCCCTGCATGGTGCTCTCTCATGGATGGGATGAAGAAGTTGGTCTTGTTCCTGGGCTCTGGTGGGCTCTGTTGGTACCAGGTCATGGGGTTTCCTTCCTTGGTGAGATAGTAACCCTGGGTATCCAGGGTCCCCTGGCACCAGAGGGTCATGGGGCTCTCCCAGGTAATCACAGAGCCTGGCTCAGCCCAGAGGCTGGGTTTGGGGAGGGTCCCTGGAAGAAACCACAGGCTGGGGTCCACAGACCTCCCCCGCTCCTCATTCCCAGCTCAGGTCACAGACCCTCTTGATTTTCTCACCCTCAGTTCAGAAGCCCCTGAGATGAGAGTCCAGGTGCTGAGTGTGAGGTCAGGCATGGGAGGTTAGCAGAGACTCACCTGCAAGTGCTTGGGCTTTCTGGCCCAGACTCAGCCATGGAGAAGAGTTTCCTGTGGGGGATTTGGAACACAGAGGTGTGGCTGCTTCCCTTCCTGTTGGAGCACCAGTAGCCACTGGAGCCCTGAGGCTCTCTGGTGAACAAGGCTGCTGTGGGACCCTCCCCACCTCAGCCCAGTGCCCCTCCTGTCCCTCGTCTCTCCACCACTGACTGAGGCACAGAAGAACAGTGAGGATGGACACCATGATGCCTGCTCTGCGTGCTCCAGCTGTGGGACAGGTGACCACATGGCCCTCCATGACAGACAGATGCACGGATGTGGTTAAGTCAGAGCCTGCTGCCGCCTGCCTGGGTCCCCACAGCTGTGAACCCACAGGAAGTGGACAGCCCCTTGCTGGGCCTGTCTCTTATTCCCCCCCCAGTGCAGGGGCTCAGGAGGACCCAGGCCCTCTGCACACATCTCAGCCCAGACCTGAGGTGTCCCCTGATTGCCAGGGATCCTTTGTCTGAAAACCTGCCCGTGGAGGGTGGACCCAACATCATATCTATGTCAGCTCCCAACTTAGCTGGGTCTAAACTGAAAACACAGCCCTTATTTTCTCAGAGCCTCCACTCATGACATCGGCTTTCTTTTTCCCCACTGATGCAAAGACAAATATTTCCCAGCAGAAAGTCATCCTGATCTGGAGAGACCCATTTCCTGCGTTCAGTAAATAAAGTCAGTTTCATTAGGGGAGGCTCTGGGAAAATAAGGGGATGCAGACTAGCAGAAGATGAACATTTAGCTACTTGTTTCTCAATTAATTGATTTATTACCAAAGAGAGAGAAGTGGAAACATGAGAATAGGGACCATGACTAGAATGTGGTTGAGGGAATGGTTTCTATCTTATTCCCTGGCAGAGAACTAAGGGATAAGAATGAGAAAGCTGGCTGGGTGCAGTGGCTTACACCTGTAATCCCAGCACTTTGGGAGGCCGAGGCAGGAAGATCACAAGGTCAGGAGTTCAAGACCAGCCTGACCAACATGGTGAAACCCCTGTCTCTACTAAAAATACAAAAACTAGCTGGGTGTGCTGGCATGCGCCTGTAATCCCAGCTACTAGGGAGGCTGAGGTGGGAGAATCGCTTGAACCTGGGAGGTGGAGCTTGCAGTGAGCCGAGATCGCGCCACTGCACTCCAGCCTGGGCAACAAAGCCGGACTGTCTCAAAAAAAAAAAAAAAAAAAAAAAAAAAGAAAGAGAGAAAACCCAGCAGTGAGAGGTAGTTGTGAGAACACACTAAAGAGGAAAGATAATCCAGGGCTGGGAGTGGTGGCTCATGCCTGTAATTCCAGCACTTTGGGAGGCTGAGGCTGGCAGATCACAAGGTCAGGAGTTCGAGACCAGCCTGACCAACATGGTGAAACCCTGTGTCTACTAAAAATGCAAAAATTAGCTGGGTGTGGTGGTGGGTGCCTGTAATCCCAGCTACTCAGGAGGCTGAGGTGGGAGAATCGCTTGAACCCAGGAGACGGAGGTTGCAGTGAGCTGAGATTGCACCACTGCACTCCAGCATAGGCAACAAAGCCAGACTCTGCCAAAAACAAAAACAAAAACAAAAACAAAAACAAAAAACAAGAAAGCTCAGTGAGAGGTGGTTGTGAGAACACACTAAAGAGGAAAGATCATTCAGGGCTGGGAGTGGTGACTCACGCCTGTAATCCCAGCACTTTGGGGGGCCACAGGCGGGTGGATTACCTGAGGGCAGGAGTTCAAGACCAGTCTGGCCAACATGGTGAAACCTCGTCTCTACTAAAAATACAAAAACTAGCTGGGTGTGATGGCGGGTGCCTGTAATCCCAGCTACTTGAGAGGCTGAGTCAGGAGAATCTCTTGAACCCAGGAGGCAGAGGTTGCAGTGAGCTGGGATCGTGCCACTGTACTCTAGCCTGGGTAACAGAGCAAGGCTCTGTCTCAAAAAAATAAAAATTAGAAAGAAAAAAGGAGAAGGAGAAGAGGAAGGAGACAGAAAGGAGAGAAACATCCCTGAGGTGGAACATTACATGCAACATGGAGTAGGCAGGGAATCCGATAGAGCACTGAAACTCTCGCTGGGTACGGTGGCTAACATCTGTACTCCCAGCACTTTGGGTGGCCGAGGTGGATGGATCACCTGAGGTCAGGAGTTTAAGACCAGCCTGACCAACATGGTGAAACCCCATCTCTACTAAAAATACAAAAGGCTGGGTGTGGTGGCTCACGCCTGTAATCCCAACACTTTGGCAGTCTGATACAGGCGGATCACATGAGATCAGGAGTTTGAGACCAGCCTGGCCAAGATGGCAAAACCTCATCTCTACTAAAAATACAAACATTACCTGGCTGTGGTGGCAGTCGCCTGTAATCCCAGCTATGCAGGAGGCTGAGGCAGGAGAATCGCTTGAACCTGAGAGGTGGAGGTTGCAGTGAGTCAAGATCGTGCCATTGCACTCCAGCCTGGCCAATAGGAGCAAAACTCCATGTGAAAATAAAATAAAATAAAATAAAATATAATAAAATAAAATAATAAATCAAAAAAGGACTGGACATCTCCTGTGGGTTGTCAGTGAATGGAACTAAGCAAGCCACCGCTCTTTCCCTTTTGTCCCGCAAGTGTCTTTCTTGGCCTCCAGGAAGTGAGTTCCATCATGTCAGACCCTATGTTTGTTCCTGCTGGGTTCACTGAGGCTCCTCCCTTTCCACCTGTGGCTCCCCATGGGTTCCCAGTCCCCAGCCAGTGTTGTGAATCGAGCCAGGAAGACCAGCCCTATCACACCCCTCCTGATGGAATTCCCACAGTGTCATCCTGGAGAACAGGGGCTGGGGGCTGGGGTAGGATCAGAGACCTTTTCATGTGGGCCAGGCCCCTCCCTCCACAGGAGCTCTGACACGAAGCTCATCACCATTCATTTCACCCTGACGATATTCTTCCTGCCCAGACACCCCCGTTCTCCCTATGTCATCATGGGCACCTCAGTGAAATCCATGGTTGAGGGTCTCTGTCACTTACTCTGCCCTCTTCTTGGAAAATTTCCTTGGATCCTTCCAGAGCCCTTCCTGAGTGTGCTGCAGGGTCTCTGCCACATGACACACTCTCAGGAACCCTCATCCTCCCCTTAATCTACTGCGCCCACATAGCCAGGTGCAGGCTCCGTTTCTTCATCTTCCCTTCCCCACAGGCCCCGATGGAGAGTGGATTAGACTCGCTCCTGAGTAGGGACTCAGGTCACTCTGACCCCTTCCTCCCTGTGGACGAGGCCTCTGTCCCAGAGCTTTGGAGGCTGAAGGGCCTTGTGGATTCCCGCACTGGCCACAGTCTCCGATGCAGATGGGGAACTGGGGACCTGGGAGGGGTTGCCTAGCCCAAGGCCACATAGCTGGGCGGTGGCACAGCCTTCACTCACACAGGGACATTCCATCTTCCCAGGGACTTCACACTGGAGGCTAAGAGCCCCACTTTGCACACCACATTCAGGGGTAGATTCTGTGTGTGACTAACAAGTTCTCTTAGGGTTCCGAGGTAACAGGACAGCAAATGGATGAGTGAGAGTTTCCCTCACCCCACTGAAGTAGGACCATTCTCTGTGGAGGGTTGGTCCCCTGACTTCCTCTACTCTGTCATCTCCCTAGTGACTGATAGGGGTCCTGGGGTCTCTTCCCTGGAATCCCATGAGGGACAATTCCTTTCCTGAAGGGAAGGTATAGAGAGGACTAGCAGGTGCCTGGTGATGGAAAGTCCCCATAATCAAGAGACATTGCCTCCCCCCCCCGGCATGATAAATATCTGGGTTTCCAAATGGGAAATCTGTCTGTGATGAGAGCTCAGGAGGGGCTTCTGGAAGATGGAAAAGGGCTAGAGGCTGAGGCCACTGCTTATCTCCCCACACTGTATCTGGCTTCACCTCCTGTGTTTGTCCTGACCTCTTCCTTCACTCACCTGGATAAGTAGGACCCCAAAGTGGGCCTCCAGACAGGAAGCAGTGGAGAGTGTGGAGCTGCCCTGTCTACCACCCTACACCCTGACACCACTGTCATACTCAACCTCTCTTTTCCTCTTTGTGTTTCTCATTGCTTCATTTTGTCTGGAATCCCTAAGATTCCCATGTCTCCAGCAGGCTGTCCCTCAGACGTGGCTATATGATTTAGTGTTTCACAGGGCATGCAGCAGGCATGGGCTACCCCCAGTAACAGTGGTCATCTAGGGCTGATCACTCACAGGCAGAGCCATCGACAGAGAGCTGCAGCATCTAGAGGTCCCATCACCAGCCCCAAGACCCAGAGAGAAGTTGGCCTGAATGCCCCACTCTGTCTCTGCACCCCAGTGAGCCAGTGTCCAGGGGCCTTACCTTCCTCGTTAGAAGGCACAGGTCAAATGAGCTTCCAGAGCTGCAGAGCAAAGTCACATTCTCTCCATCATTACTTACTGCAGGGCACAGTTGAGCTGAGAAGGAAGGTCTCTTGTAGACGCCTGGGGAAAAAAATAGTCCTTGACTGTCGAGCACAAGCCTTACCCAGCCTATCCTCAGGGCATGAAAAAGGCATTCTCTCCACCTGTTCTGGGGAGCACACTCTGTTACCCACTCGTGCCTCTCTCCATCTCAGTTCTAGCTCTACAAGCTGGCTCATCATGTGTGTGTTTTCCTGTCTGTCTTTGCTCAGCTTTTCCTTGAATCTCTTGCTTTTTGCCGGTGCGTGTGTGGCTTTCTGCCCTTAGAACCATATGAGATTTAGGGTTCTCCTGGCACATAGAACTGTTTACTTTGAGGACCCTCAGAAAACATAGCCCTGGGCTAAGGCTCCCTGTCCTGGAACTAGAAGGTTATGGGTGTCACCATTTCCCAACAGCATGTCTGAAAGTGCCAGAATCTTCAAAGAGTCTGCAACATGTTTGTAGGATCTTTATAGGGTCTGATATTGCAGGGACCAACCAAAGTGCCCTCACACCCCAAGACGCTGGAAGTGACCCCTTGCTGAAAGTGGTTGGAAGTTTCACATAGAAGTTTGAGTTAAGCCACATTGCTGAGCAATGCCTCAGCATCCCAGTCTTCATCCAGACCTTCCAGGAGCCTGGCTGGAGGGGGTGTCTCTGGTGTGTCACTGAGCCTTATAGCAGAGGAAGGGGGCTATGGTGGAAACTACCTCCAAGATACCACTCAGTCCTAAGCTGGGGAACAAGCTGAGCTTGGATTCTGGTAGTGAATGAACCGGGAAACATTTATTTGAAGGGTTCTAAGAGTAGCATCGTGTGGGTGCGTTAATTGTATGTGAAGGGGAAGATCCTGAGAAAACAAGAGCTGCTCCACTCTGTGCCTGGGTTTACCAGAGGGACCGATGAGGTCCTCACAAGACCCAGGAATCCCACCGGGGGAAGGAGGCTTAGGGAGATGTGTTTAAGACTGTTAAGTGAGTCACAGACAGAAGCAGATCAAGCCATCCCACCACCTAGGTTTGTGGTTTTGTTTCTCCTAAACTTCCTTTCTGTAAGTAGCAGAACCTTCTCATCACCATCCTTCAAAACCTCTGCATTGTTTGAGCTCCTTGTATTTTCTGGAGATTAATCTCTTGCTTGCAAATATTCTTTCCCATTCTGTAGGTGGTCTCTTCACTCTGCTGTTTGTTTCCTTGATTGTGCAGAAGGTTTGCAGTTTGCTATGATCTCATTTGCCTATTTTTGCTTTTGCTGCCTGAGCTTTTGAGGGTTTTTTTTTTTTGTTTTTTTTTTTGAGACGGAGTCTCGCTCTGTCACCCAGGCTGGAGTTCAGTGGCATGATCTCAGCTCATTGCAACCTCCGCCTCCCGGGTTCAAGTGATTCTCCTGCCTCAGCCTCCCTAGTAGCTAGGACTACAGGCGAGTGCCACCACACCCGGCTAATTTTTGTATTTTTAGTAGAGGCAGGGTTTCACCACGTTTGGCCAGGCTGGTCTCAAACTCCTGACTTCAAGTGATCCACCCACCTTGGCCTCCCAAAGTGCTGGGATTACAGGCGTGAGCCACTGCGCCCGGCGTTGTATTGGATTTTTAATTCAGCCCTATTTTCTCCGACATTTGATATTGGCATTTTTGTCTTTTTTGGATATGCTAGGATCATGGTGTCATAATTTAATTTTAATTTTTATTTTTATTTTAAGTTCCGGGGTACATGTGCAGAATGTGTGGGCTTATTGCATAGGTCAATGTGCGCCATGGTGGTTTCCTGCACCTGTCAACCCATCACCTAGGTATTAAGCCCAGCATACATTAGCTATTTTTCCTAATGCTCTCCCTACCCCTACCCCACCCCCCCCCCGACAGGCCCCAGTGTGTGTTGTTCCCCTCCCTGTGTTCACGCATTCTCATTGTTCAGCACCCACTTGTAAGTGAGAACATGCAGCGTTTGATTTCCTGTTCCTGTGTTAGTTTCCTGAGGATAATGGTTTCCAGCTCCATCCATGTCCCTGCAAAGGACATGATCTTGTTTCTTTTTATGGCTTCATAGTATTCCGTGGTGTATATGTCTCACATTTTCTTTATCCAGTCTATCATTGATGGGCATTTGGGTTGATTCTATGTCTTTGCTATTGTGAATAGTGCTGCGATGAACACATGTGTGCATGTATCTTTGCAATAGAATGATTTATATTCCTTTGGGTATACGCGCAGTAATGGGACTGCTTTTACCTGTGCCAAAATACTGAAGTAGAAATGATTATTCACTCTAAAATGGAAGGTAATAAGATGTATACGTGAGCTATCAGATGCCTGGTGCTTATGAGTGAAGACAAGTCTGTCCAACGCTTCCCAACCCTGCATTCAGGGATGTCTCGTTGGCATCTTGATTATGGCCATGAAAAAAGAATTTACGTCAAGGAAATTGGTAAATGCCACTAATCATAGCATTTCAAAAAATGTCTTTTTCAGAATTAGCATACCATTGGGTCGTGACTTCAAATGCCAGTGTGTTGATTCCAGGTGGTGATATTTCAGGAGAAACTACACAGATAGCATCTGATAAGGAGGGAAGAGCTCATAGGGTCCACACAGGAGGTGAGGGCATCACGGTGCATTTATCTTTTCCTGGTCGGACTCTGATCTTCTCCCGTTGAATTAGTTCCTAAACCAGGTGCGGAACTCTGAACTGAAGACATGAAGACCCAGTAAAGTACACCAGGAAGTGTGGCAATGAGAAATGAAGAGGACTGTGTGACACGCCATGGACCAGAGCATGCAGGTGTGCAGAGGTGTGGACCCAACGCTGCCATGTGGGATGGAGCCTCATGTCTAAGTGTGGGAAAAGAGGCAGATCCAACCAAGGAAAGTCAACATTAATGGAGAGGAAAGGTATCACATTTTAATGGTTCTCCATGGATCACCCCAGAAAATGTCCCTGCACTCGGACATTGATTCCTTCCTCTGGAAATGACCAGCAGACAGTCCAGATAGCATCGGCCCTAGATTTTCTTCCAGAACCTCCTGGGATCATCAGATCTGTTCCTGAGGCTTCACGACTCTATAAAGTACATTATCCTCTCTGCTGTTCACCTCCCGGCTGCATCTTGGGAAGCTTCTCTGGCTGTGCCAAGCCTCAAATGACAGAATCCCGAGGACCACCAGGATCAAGCCAGCCACGCCCATGTGGATGAGATTCTCCACTGCGTAATCCTGAAGGTGTGAGGCTGGGGATGGTGGACAAAGAGGTCACAGAGGTCAGGGTGGATCAGATTGTCCACCCAGGGCACCCACCTCCCCTTCACAGGACCCAACCCTCAGTGCCAGCCCCATCACTGAGAGTATCTCCTCACATACCAGTCTCAGAGTCAGACTTGTTTTGTGATGGGCTGAGGGTATCAGCTGCTCCAGAGAATCAAAACAGAGAAAAAGAGACCTGAGCCCAGCCTCTCACCTGGGCTCTGCAATTTTTTTTTTATTACTTAATGTCTCATGATGTGACTTTTACAGAATTTCTAAAAAAAAAAAAAAAAAACCTCTTCCTCCGCTAGCAGGATTCCCTCTAGTCTCCTCATTGAACGATTTCAGTTTTCCTGTGTTCTATGGATTTAAACATTGCTCCTGAGTCATCTGGGAGAGAGTTTTCCTGCATCCTGAGAGCTCAGGATCTGCAAGGAAAGTGGTCCCCAGTACAGAGGTCACTAAGGCCTGTGTGCTCTCTGTGCAGCCTGGGACACAGGAGAACATGAGCCAACTCCCCCGGAGATGAGAGTTTCACGGATCCACCAGCTGAGGACCCAGGCTCCGTGGATGAGGGTTAGTCATCAGGGGAGCCTCAATGTCAGAAGCACAAAGGGGTGAAATTCTGGGGCTGCCTCCCCTTCATGCCCTCAGCCACTTCACCTGGAGTTTCATTGTCCATTTAATCTCTAGGTAGCTAATTATTCGTATAGGCAGCAACAGGTAGAATGTGATACACACACAGAAAAACACAAACACAAATATATATCTGTTTTATATATATAGTGGGCCTTAAAAACTATCTCTGCCTTCTTGAAGTGTGGGTTCACCTGGAGACAAACAGCAAACATATAGAAACACAGCAGTGGAAATTTACTAGTCGTAGCAATGGTTTTAGATATATTGGTAGAGACCTATATTTATGTGTGAATATATATTATTTGTATAGATATACGGATAACTAGGTTTCAATGTCACGTAAGATGTTGGTGTGACCACACACGCGCACACACACACACACACGTATATGCAGAGAGTGGAAGAGAGAGAGAAGGAATTCAGCCGCATGGTGTAGGTTGGTTAATTACTTGACATAAATGAGAAGCAGGCAGGACTGGGCTGAGCTGTGTCGTCAGTGAAGGTCACACTTGGAGGTGACATTGAAGCTGATTCCTCAATAGGAAAAAGGGCCAGGAAGGAGGCGTGTGGAGACCCAGACAGGGAGCAACAGAGGCTCCAGAAAGAGCAGGTCCCAGAAAGGTCTCAGCCTGTTCTTCAGAAAGGAATGGCCGCTTGTCTACAGGGTGGAGGAGGAGGCAGAGGAGGAGGGGAGATGAGCTTCGGGGCCTTGGTGGATTGAGAATAGGCCAGGATGAACCGGCCAGGAAAGAGCGGCCCCAATATCTCTCTCTCTGTCTCTCTGTCTCTGTCTCTGCCTCTCTCTCCCTCCCTCTGAGGTCTGGAAAGTGCTGTAGGGTTTCAAGGAGTGGTACCAGTCATTTGACTTTTTCTGAAAAGATAAGCCCTACCCCCTCCATAGCAAATGTCCAGAACGAAGGAAGTCCACATTTCTACCTGAAGTTTACAAAACCTCAGGGAGCACGTGAGATCAGGGCTATTACGAAACCGGGTGAGAATAAAAATAGGTGATGCTGCAAATCTACTTTCACCAGCTTGGACAAAAAGGCCAATATGAGATTTTAAAAACCCAAATAAAAAATGTCAACGGCGCAGAAGAGGAGCGGTGCACATTCCCTGAGCTGCTGCGGGAGCACGTGCAAGTCCCTGTGAGGCTCAGGTGTGCGCTGAGTGCTGGGGAGGCTGCAGGGGAAAGCAGGAAGTGGGGCGGGGTGGGGGGGGGTCGGGGGTGGATGCAGGTGGCACCGGCAGCCTGGATGCTTCTCTCTCCAGGAGGGCGTCTGTTGGGGACTGGGACACAGAGGCTCTGATTCTGAGGTGGAGACACCAGGATGGGAGCAGGTGGGGCCTCCGTCTTCCACCCTCAGTCTAATCTCAACTCCTTTGAGGTTCACCCCCCGTCTCCTCCCAGCCCTCCCTGCACTTTACTCTACTGAGACTTCAGGGGTGGGAGCCAGGGGTGGGAGGTCCCTGTCTATTTCCATCTTCCCATGGGCTGGACCCTCCCCTGCGGACCCTCTCCCTTCACTCCCCTCTTTCCTTAGTGTCCAGAGCTCTGCTGGGGGCAGGGCCTGAGCTGAGCCTTTGAGCTCAGAGAGGACAGGGTCAGCGCCCTCACCTGAGACCACGAGCTCCACGGGGCCACTGGGGTGAGACAGCAGGTAGGGGTCGGAGCTGAGTGAGCCGTAGCACCTGTAGGTCCCCGTGTGGGCTGAGGTCACAGGACTCATGGGGAATTC